>NC_000012.12:46854067-47005582 GCF_000001405.40 Homo sapiens
TGTAGAGAAATAGGGACACTTTTATACTGTTGGTGGGACTGTAAACTAGTTCAACCATTGTGGAAGTCAATGTGGTGATTCCTCAGGGATCTAGAACTAGAAATACCATTTGACCCAGCCATCCCATTACTGGGTATATACCCAAAGGATTATAAATCCTGCTGCTATAAAGACACATGCACACTTATGTTTATTGTGGCACTATTCACAATAGCAAAGACTTGGAACCAACCCAAATGTCCAACAATGATAGACTGGATTAAGAAAATGTGGCACATATACACCATGGAATCCTATGCAGCCATAAAAAATGATGAGTCATGTCTTTTGTAGGTACATGGATGAAGCTGGAAGCCATCATTCTCAGCAAACTATTGCAAGGACATAAAACCAAACACTGCATGTTCTCACTCATAGGTGGGAATTGAACAATGAGAACACATGGACACAGGAAGGGGAACATTGCACACCAGGGCCTGTTGTGGGGGAGGGGGAGGGGGGATAGCATTAGGAGATATACCTAATGTTAAATGACGAGTTAATGGGTGCAGCACACCAACATGGCACATGTATACATATGTAACTAACCTGCACATTGTGCACATGTACCCTAAAACTCAAAGTAAAAAAAAAAGATGTGAAATAATAAAAAAAAAAAAAAAAAGAAAGTGGCATATGGCCAGGCAAGGTGGCTCACACCTGTAATCACAACATTTTGGGAGGCCAAGGAAGGTGGATCACAAGGTCAAGAGTTCGAGGCCAGCCTGGCCAATATGGTAAAACCCTGTCTCTACTAAAAATACAAAAAACACTAGCTGGGTATGGTGGCATGCACCTGTAGTCCCAGCTACTTGGGAGGCTGAAGCAGAATTGCTTGAACCCAGGAGGTGGAGGTTGCAGTGAGCTGAGATTGCACCACTGCACTCCAGCCTGGGAAATAGAAGGAGAATCCATCTCAAAAAAAAAAAAAAGAAAGTAGCTTATGTGTGTAAATAGGTTGCTGTTATCTTCTTCTGAAGTTGAAGTTGTCTAGCTTCAATTCGCAGGGCTTTACAAAAGCACAGCTTAGTTTTCAGTGACTCCAAATTAGGAAAAATGGGGGGGAAAAGAAGGAAAAAAATTGAAAACACTATTTTGAAGACTTGTAGGCAAGAAAAATTAGCATTTGATCCAAAGTGTAGAAAATAATAAAAATTGAAAAACATTGGGCAAGACTAGAACCTAACAACAGGTGTACTATAGTTTTTGAAACATAATTTTTCTCTCCCCAGTTGCCCATTTTTACTAAAGACAAATCATAGTAGGACTGGTATGCTTTATTATATTTGGCCTAATTATTTTTATACAGTGCAGCAAGAATAATTATTTTTTACACAGGCTTTTAAATTGGCTTTGAGGGAATTTTGTTCCATAGAAAGAATCTCAGATAAGACTTTTTTAAAGCTGAGCCCAGCCATGGATTTGTACCATTAAATACCTAGAAGTTTGGTAAATTCCTTTCCTTTTGAGGTTCCAAGATAAACTTGGGGATCCTGGGCCTGTCAGAAAGTGACATTCTTTACTTATCACATGTCACAACCCTGTACAGGCACTGTTTTGACAGGGTATGAAACCAGTTTTTCCAAGTGGCTTTTATTGTCTTCATAAGTCAAATTTAATTGCTTAAAGGAAAGCACACCATTCCAGTCGAAGCCTTGGTGAAATAATCAGTTTCTCCAGTTGTGCCCGGTTACAAATGAAAACAGATTCTTCCTGCACTTATGTAAATAACTGTATTGTTATAAGTTAAGAATACTCACAAATAGTTTCCAAATTCTGTAGAAATCAGGTAGAGAGAAACAAATATGCTCCAAATTTTGTTCATAGGAGTATAATTTACTCAATTGTTAAAAGCTGTAAATAGCTTAAAAAGAAGTTTTCTTGACTCTGAAAAAACAAAACAAAGGATCAGCAACGTTTTAAGCAAAAAGTTAAAAAATTACTTCAGACTTCTATTAGTTTAGTCCATGCAGTTATTTCCTGTTCTACATGATATTTTTGAACATTTCAGCTCTCCATGAGTACTAAAAGTTTTTCCTCTATTCTGATGTCACAATCTCCAAAGTTATTAGAAACCTGCAATCAGTTTTATAGATGATTATAAAACCACCTTCTAAAGAGGACCAAAACAAGACAACTGTCCATGTATGACAAAAAGTTTTAGGGCAGCCATAGCCAAAGACACAATTGACAAGGAAGTTTGTTACCTCCGTGACACACAATAATTTAACATAACCATTACAATTATTACTGATATTGTACATTAAGTCCTATCAGAATTATAGGAGTTTCCCATAATTTTGGAATACATACCAATACCATATTTATACAAATACAGCACAAAGAAAACCAAACACGGTTTTATGTTTGATAATGCTTCCTGTAAAATTTTTATGCCAAATAAGCCAAATATGTCATTTTTGGACTTTAGGGAGCCTATTAATAATATCTTAAAGGATTAATTCGGTCAGAAAAAGACATAATTTATAATTTGATTTTGGAAAATTTGTCAAACATCAATTGTTTAAAACAGTTGATGTTACAAAACAGGATCACAGGCCGTAGTAAAATTAGTCATTCATTTAACCAAAGTGATAACTCAAGGATTTCAAAAAATGGTGAAAGCCTTTATTCTTTGAGAGAGGAGACTTAATTTCCCAAACAATAAGACCTAAAAAAAAAAGCATGAAGTCAATTAAATTTGTTTTCCAAAATTTTATAAACAATCTATAAAATTTTCATCTTGATCATAGGATATAACTTCCATAAGCCTTTATAACCTTTATTAAGGAGTCCATTAATGCTTTGAGAAAACCTTGTTAATCTGACATCAGGGCCCATATGCTGGTCTTGCATCAGTATGCCTTTGACATTAATGATTAATTTATAGAGAAACTGAACTTATTTTATCTCTCAAAATCAGCCGTTACAATCTCATACACCTATGTCTTCTGTGATAGTCACTCGGCCTTGAGGAATTAAAGAGCTTTAATTTCTGGCCCTGTGTTTTAGGAAGGCAGTTTACTTTGATTGACATCTTCTACCAGGCCTGAAGATGAGGGTTTAATTGCTTTCAGTGTTTAAGATTTAGCAGGACTTGGTGTTCGTTTTAGACCCAGGAGTCAAAGCCCGGTAACTCAATGTCACAAGGAATTTAAAAGCACATATAGGAAGTTACAAGGATGTAATAATCCTAATTTTAAAAAAATTTAATCTCAGTTTTTCCCAAGCAAACCAAACTTAATAATAATGGAATAGGAATTATTTTGATGAAATATAAAATCTGTTAGGTTGTTGTGGGATCAGGAGGACCAGAGAGAGACCTTCAGGTGTATACAGGAGGATATTTTTATTGAGTGTACTTAGGCCCAGCGGACTTAACATCCAAAGACTGGGCCCAGAACAAAGACAGCACTTGACTTTTATACACACTTCAAAAAGGGGGTGAACTAGCTTGAAGCAGGCTTATGGTGATGCAAAAGCAGGGATACAGATGCAGAACAAAGACAGTTAATCAAACTGTAACAGGTTCATAACTCAGGATTACACATGACCATTGCCAAGCACCCCAGATGTCTGTTATTTATGTTTTGCTCTAAAGAGCCTTTTACTGGTTTATGTCACAACCTTCACTATGGTGCCCAGAAAGCTGTAGTTCAGGCTTGCTCAGGCTTCTCATGACCTTCACTGTACTTCTTAGATAAAACAGAATACTTGAATTTACTAGTTACAGAGAACAAGAATTTATAAACTCATACCATAAAACAGGAAAATTTGTTTTCTTCTCCCTATGTTGAGGGAGTGCTGGGAGAGTCTCCAGAGCACATTCCTTTGTGTCCTAGCTTCTCAGAAAGTATTATCAAGACTTTCCCTGGGTCTGGGCTGTGCCCATTGCTGCCTCTGGGACAAGTCAGCCTAATACAGGAAAGCTTATTTCTTTCTCTTTTTAATTTTATTTTTCTTTATTTCTTTAATTTCTCACCTCAAGGTCAGTTACCACAAGGCAAAAGAAAAGACCTTTTGAAGTGCACAGAATATTATGTTGGAAGAAAACATTTCCTTTAGGCCTTTAAGAAAATATTGTTAGCATTATGCCACAAAAAACAGAATCCAAGCAGGAAAAAAATAAAAAAACCTGCATGAACTGAAAATGACTTGAAGGGGAATGTTACTATTTCACACGTTTTGAAAGAGGAGAGAAAACCAAAACCAGTGCAATGGAATAAAAGTTGAACTTTGGGTTAAAATAAATTAAAATCTTTTATAATTTATTAAGAGTAAACCAACCCCTTAGGAAAATTTTATTGTTCTAACCAATTCTTTAGTGTATAAGTGTTTTTTAATCAAACCCAATCTCTAGAAAGACCATTATAATTTCTCTTTAATCATGGATAACTTGATCGTATAAAAGTTTTTCTTTTTTTTTTAAAATAAATCCTATTATTGTGACATAAACAGACCATTCGTGACATGCTTGGACTTTCCGGTTGATCCTGAACTTAAGCAACCATTCATTTTACTCTAGAGCTAAATTTACCGTACAAGATTCTTTCTCATATGAAAGTATTTCTCTCTAAGCTTTCTTACCAAAAAAAAAAAAGAAATCTATTGTCATAACTTTCTTCACATCTTTTTTATTTCCTGGTTCCTGTTACCTTGTTTAATCATGACCTTTAAATAAGCTTTGAATTAGACAAAAATGTTCACCTTTTTAAAAAGGACACACTTTTTTTAGGAAAAAATGTTTTCCTAGAAATATATTTTTATTGGAAAATACCCAAATAATAAATTATTTATTATTTTATTTAATATAAATTTAGTTTCTAAATTATGAGTTTCTCTACAAGTATTTATCCTATTACATTTACCTAATTATTTTAATTTAATCATTTATCTGGATTATTCATAAAAACTGTGATTGTCATTATTTAAAGTTATGGAACTGCCATTGCAAAATTATAACTGAGACAGTGAAAAAGATTTGACCTGAGTCTATCTTCCTTCTAACCTCCAAGCCATTCTTGTTAATTCCTGGGAATGGGCCCAACTAACCGTGGGAGGAACATAGTTCATATTTTAGCTTTGAAACAAAGATGATAACAGTCCTTCTCCAAAACAAAGCTCACTGCCTGTGGACTAAACTGCCTAAAGCCACAAGATTAGAAGTTATAGTAATCTTACTAAATTCAAGATGGAGCTATTTTTATCAAATCAATATTAACATCTTATTTATTAAAGATTACACAAGCAAAGATCATTCTGTCTTCAGCTGGGTTTATAGTTTTGTAACCCTTGTGCCAAATTTTGACACCTTATGTTTGTGAACCCCAAAAATCTGAGACAGTTCACAGTTAATTTAGAAAGTTTGTTTTGCCAAGGTTGAGGACCCATGCCTGGAACACAGCCTCAGGAGGTTCTGCCAACATGCGGCCAAGGTGATAAGAGCACAGCTTGGTTTTATACATTTCAGGGAGACATGAAACATCAATCAACATACGTAAAATGAACATTGGTTTGCTCCAGAAAGGTGGGACAACTTGAAGCAAAAGCTGGACAACTCAAAACAGGGAGGGGGCTTCAGGGCACAGGTAGGTGAGAGACAAATTGTTGCATTCTTCTGAGTTTCTGATTAGCCTTTCCAAAGGAGGCAATCAGATATGCACATATACACACACATCTTGGATGTTAGCTTTTAATTAAGTTGACTTTTAACCATTGATCTTCTTTTAAAATATTTTTTTAAATCTCATTACCATACTTCAGCTAGGACAAATTGCTGCTATTTCAGAAGCACAGCCATTGCTATTTCAGTTTGGCCTGGCTAGCAAAAACATAGCCTTGTTATGTAAATAAAGCCCCTTAGTAGGCAAAATAAAAAATCTTTTATTTCCTTTCGCTGGCCTTTATTCTCTCCCTACCACACCACCTTCGTGTGTGTGTGTGTGTGTGTGTGTAGGAATTTAGCAACTTCAGAGGCCTTGTTTCTCATAATTAGGAACTTCTTTGGATTTGATCAAGTCAGATAGTTCAGATTTAATCAAGTAGGGTGGAGTTGATCAAACCCAATGGGAAAAAGACCAAAACAAAAACAAAAACAGAAATAACAACCAAAAAAAAAGTTAAGTAAAACAAATGATTGCCCAACCCATATGATTACTGAGGTCTCTAATGATAAGGATAAATTAAGACCAGCTGGTTGTCAATCTTAACTTTAGAAAAGGCAAACCCCAATTCAGTTACTTACTTAGGGATGGGTCTCAGGCTGAAGATGGCTCTTTACCATCCTAGAAGCAGAAAAAAAACCCTCATCTTCCCTGTTGAAAGCAAGCTCAAACTCCGTAAAGGAGTTACCTGACTCCATTGTCACAGAAAACTTGCCTACCTTGTATTGGAAGCAAGTAAAACTCCAAAAAAAAAAAAAGAGTCATATAGCAAAGTAAACTTTAGATCTCTACCGAATTTTGGGAGATCAGGGATTCTTTGGAAGTGGTACTTCCAGGCCTCCACAAATTGTCCTATTGGTTTGAGCCATAAAGATAGTACAAGCTGGTACCAAGCACCAATAGAGGATTTGTCAAAAGTCAGGGGCACCTACACTCAGAATCCCATTGGGTTACCAAAATGTGAACTCCAAATATCTGAGAAAGGTTTCAGTTAGTTTAGAAAGTTTATTTTGCCAAGGTTGAGGACATGCACCCCTGACACAGCCTTGGGAGGTCCTGATGACATGTGCCCAAGGTGGTCAGAGCAGTTTGGTTTTACACATTTTAGGGAGTGTATTAGAGTTCTCTAGATGGACAGAACTAATTATATTTATATATATTAGTTCTGTCCCTAATATATATATATATATACGAGTTTATTAAGTATTAACTCACACAATCAGAAGGTCCAACAATAGGCTGTCTGCAGGCTGAGGAGCAAGAAGAGCCAGTCTGAGTTCCAAAACTGAAGAACTTGGAGTCTGATGTTCCAGGGCAGGAAGGATCCAGCATGGGAGAAAGATGTAGGCTGGGAGGCTAGACCAGACTCTCTTTTCATATTTTTCTGCTTGCTTATATTCTAGCCTCACTGGCAGCTTATTAGATTGTGCCCACTCAGATTAAGGGAGGGTCTGCCTTTTCCAGCCCACTGGCTCAAATGTTAATCTCCTTTGGCAACACCCTCACAGACACACCCAGGATCAGTATTTTGCATCCTTCAATCCAATCAAGTTGACACTCAGTATTAACCACCACAAGTCCACCCATTGTCAACTTGAACCCATATACATTTCCTGAGATCATACATAATCTTCAAATAAAGACATTAAGAAGGTCATAATTATGCCTAACATGATACAACTATCCTTCACACAACCAGAAACACCAGTCCCCAACCAAAATACTATTACTTAACGTTAAAAATACTTAAATGCTGATATGAAGTCAATAAATCTTATGGCACATGATAAAAGAGAAAGGAAATAAAATGAAGATATTTTCTTAGTACAAGTGTATACATGCACAAACATGTTTTTGACAAAAGAAGGAGGAAACTCTCATGAGAATTTCAGTCCTCATTGATACAACTGGTCACGTGGTCGTAGCTGGTATTGATAACTACCTTCTTCTACTACCCATTCTGTATTATCTTTGCCTTCAGCAAGCACCTCAGCAGGTCATGGTTTTTTTCCTGGTGGAGTAACCCAAACCTTCATTCCTGAAGGGTCTGAGTCATTTGTAGTCCTGCCTGAATTGGGCTGTTGTAGTTTCCCATTGACCTTAATCACGGGGCATGGTAATACTAAGAGATGCCCTAATGGATCTCCTGTATTCCATGCATAGTCTTCCTTACTGCCATTGTAGAGTAGTAAACTGATTTCATCTTGATAGTCCGGGTCAGTCAGTCACCCCAGCCAACACTGTAACTCCCTTCTTAGCCTGTTGACTTAAAGGTCGGAGGAGCCCAAAGTGTCCAGGTGGCAATTTTAACTTCCAGTTTAATGGAATCATTGTTGTGTCTCCTGGTGGCAGCATCCCTCCCTCTGGAACTAAGACCTCTAGGCCACCAGAACTTAATGTCATGAAAACAAGAAGCAAAAATTTTGCTAGTGGATCACTATGGGTGATTCCTGGTCCACCCCTTGATTCCTGGACCCATAAATCCTGGCTACGGGAGAAATAGTACCATATATTGGACACTGCTTCAGAGCATACATGGCCTTCTGGAGAACTTTGTCCCAGCCCTGCAAAGTATTGTCACCTAGTTGGCATTGTAATTGTGACTTCAAAAGGCCATTCCACCATCCAATTAATCCAGCTGCTTCAGGATGATGGGGAACATGGTAAGACCAGTGAATTCCATGAGTATGAGCCCACTGCTGCACTTCTTTAGTTGTAATGTGAGTGCCTTGGTCAGAGGCAATGATGTGCGGAATACTATGATGGTGGATAAGGCACTCTGTGAGTCCACAGATGGTAGTCTTGGCAGAAGCATTGCTTGCAGGATACGCAAACCTATATCAGGAGTAAGTGTCTATTCCAGTGAGGACAAACCTCTGCCCTTTCCATGATGGAAGAGTTCCAATATAATCAACCTGCTACTAGGTAGCTGGCTGATCACCCCAAGGAATGGTGCCATATCAAGGGCTCAGTGTTGGTCTCTGCTGCTGGCAAACTGGGCACTCGACACTGGCCATAGCCAGGTCAGCCTTGGTGAGTGGAAGTCTATGTTGCTGAGCCCATGTGTAAGCTCCATCCCTGCCACCATGGCCACTTTGTTCATGGGCCCATTGAGCAATGACAGAGGTGTTTGTGGAAAGAGGCTGAGTAGTGTCCACAGAACAGGTCATCCTATCCAGTTGATTATTAAAATCCTCCTCTGCTGAGGTCACCCATCGGTGAGCACTCACATGAGATACAAATATTATCATAGTTCTTGACCATTCAGAGAAATCCATCCACATATTTCTTCCCCAAATTTCTCTATCACCAATTTTCCAATCATGCTTCTTCCAAGTCCCTGACCATCCAGCCAAACCATTGGCTACAACCAATGAATCAATATATACTCCTACATCTGGCCATTTCTCCTTTCATGCAAAGTGCACAACCAGGTGCACTGCTCAAAGTTCTGCCCACTGGGAAGATTTCTCTTCATTGCTGCCCTTCAGCGATGTCCTAGAAAGGGGCTGTAGTGCTGCAGCTGTCCACTTTCGGGTGGTGCCTGCGTATCGTGCAGAACCACCTGTGACCAGGCCCTAGTCTTCTCTTCCTCTGTCAAATGAGAATAGGGACCTCCTCATGAGGTCATTAGTGCAGGCTGGGGGAGAGAAGGCAGGGTGGCAGGAGTGGA
This sequence comes from Homo sapiens, assembly GCF_000001405.40. Classification (NCBI taxonomy): domain Eukaryota; kingdom Metazoa; phylum Chordata; class Mammalia; order Primates; family Hominidae; genus Homo; species Homo sapiens. Next base: position 46,863,443 of record NC_000012.12, read on the forward strand.
GACCATGAGCATTTGAGCCACCTTCTCATGTAACTTACTTGTGCCTTCAGGAACTGCTCGAGCCTGATCATGAATATATCACTTGTGTTTGATGATGGAATGCTGCTGTGCATGACTCACTTTATGGCTAGATGGGTCAGAAAGCACCCAGTTCATGATAGGCAGTTCAGGTCACATGGTGACTTGATAATCCATAGTCAAATTTTCAATTTCCCCTAAGCCCAGTAACAGGCCAAGAGCTGTCTCTCAAAAGGAGAGTAGTTATCTGCAGAAGATGGCAGGGACTTGCTCAAAAATCCTGGAGGCCTCCATTGTGATTCACCTATGGGAGCCTGCCAAAGGCTCCAAACAGCGTCTCTTTCTGCCATTGACACTTCAAGCACCATTGGATCTGCTGGGTCCTATGGTTCAAGTGGCAAAGCAGCTTGCACAGCAGCCTGGACCTGTTGCAGAGCCTTCTCCTGTTCTGGACCCCACTCAAAACAGGCAGTCTTTCAAGTCACTTGATCAATGGGACAAAGTAACATACCTAAATGAGGAATGTGTTGCCTCCAAAATCCAAATAGGCCCACTAGGTGTTGTGCCTCTTTCTTGGTTGTAGGAGGGGCTAAATGCAGCAACTTATCCTTCATCTTAAAAGGAATATCTTGACATGCCCCACACCACTGGACCCCTAGAAACTTTACTGAGGTAGAAGGTCCCTGAATTTTGGCTGGATGTATTTTCCATCCTCTGGCATGCAAATATCTCACCAATAAGTCCAGTGTGTTTGCTACTTTTTGCTCACTGGATCCAATCAGCATAATGTCATCAATGCAAAGGACCAGTGTGATATCTTGCAGAAGTGAAAACTAATCAAGGTCTCTCCAAATTAGATTATGACACAAAGCTGGAGAGTTGATATAGCCCTGAGGTAGGACAGTAATGCCTTGCCAGCTGAAGGCAAATTGCTTCTGCTGGGCCTTATGGACAGGAATAGAGAAAAAGGTATTTGCCAAGTAAATGTCTGCATACCAGATACCAGGAGATAGGTTAATTTGCTCAAGCAATAAAACCACATCTGATATAGCAGCTGCAATTGGAGTCACCACTTGGTTAAGCTTACAATAATCCGCTGTCATTCTCCAAGATCCATCTGTCTTTTGTACAGGCCAAGTGGGGGAGTTGAATGGGGATGTGGTGGGAATCATCACCCTGAGTCTTTCAAGTCCTTCACGGTGGCACTAATCTCTGCAATCCCTTGAGTGATGTAATATTGTTTTTGATTTACTATTTTTCTAGGTAGAGACAGTTCTAATGCCTTCCATTTGGCCTTTTCCACCATAATAGATCTCACTCTACCAGTCAGGGAGCCAATGTGGGGGTTCTGCCAGCTGCTAAGTATGTCTATACCAATTATGCATTCTGGCACTGGAGAAATGACCACAGGATGAGTCTAGGGACCCACTGGACACACTGTAAGTTGGACCTGAGCTAAAACTCCATTAATTACCCGACCTCCATAAGCCCCTACTTTAGCTGGAAGACCACAATGACATTTTGAGTTTTCTGGAATCAATGTCAGCTCAGAGCCAGTGTCCAATAGTCCCCAAAATGTCTGATCATTTCCCTTTCCCCAATACACAGTTACCCTGGTAAAAGGTCAGGGGTCTCCTTGGGGGAAGAATGGGAGAAAGATTCACTGCATAAATTGTCGGTAATGTAGTATAGTCCTTTCTCAGTGTGACCTGACCTCTCCTTCATTCAAGGGGTTCTGGGTCTGTAAACTGGCTCAAGTCTGGAAATTGATTGAGGGGCCATGATGCTTTGTTTTTATAATTCAAATTAGTCTTTTGTCCGTTCGACCTAGAAGCTTTCTGCTTATATAAATTAAGTAGAAATGCAGTAGGTTTCCTATCAATTTCACTTCTAGGAACACCATGATTAATTAGCCAAACCAGAGCTCTACACAAGTCAGATTATTCTGATGGCTGCTTTGCCTCTGCTGTCCATTACACCCACCTTGCCTTTGATGATTGAGTGTCACCACTTGGCCCCTGCCACCTATGGATCCAATTATTCCCATTGTATTTAAATGTTGTAGTTGAGTGACTGTGGTTCCCATTATTAGATCTGACATACAGAGAAGAGCAATTACAGGGTCCTTAAAAAATGCAGATGCTGCCCTCAGAAGTCTATTTCACAAGGAATTGATCAAGGGCATATCTTGTGGGCCCTCCTGGCTGAGATGAGTAGATCTAAAGTGACTAATCCACTCCACTATCCCAATCTCCCTAAGCCTTTTGATCCCTTCCTCTATATTAAACCAAGGGAAATCAGGCATTTCCAGCTTACTCAAAATGGGCCATCTTTTATCCAGATTTCAACTAATCAAGCAAATAAACTATTAGAACCTTTTTTAACTCCCTGAGCTGCAACATTAAATGCAGAGTCCCTACTTAGTGGGCCCAAATCAATAAATTCAGCCTGACCCAACTCTATGTTCCTTCCACCATTATCCCACACCCTTAATATCCATTCCCATACCGTTCTCCAGATTTGTGTTTATATAAATTGGAAAACTCAGGCAGTTCTTTTTAAGTGTAGCACACCTCCTCATAGGTCACACTCTCAACCTCACCTCTAGGGGCCTGCAGGTACTTTAGTCTAGTTATAAGTCTAGAGGCAAACAGGGGTGTTGGGGGTGGCTCCTGAGAAGAAACCAATGTTATCTTGCCTGGAAACTGCCTCAGGGAAGGCCATCACTGTTGCTTCAGGCAGCACAAGTTTTATCTCCTCAGACAAAAGTGGAAAGGCTGATGGCAGCATGGGTTGGGGAGGGGATGTTGCCACTACTGGGAATGGAGAAGCTGTTTCTTCTGGCAAAAAAGGTTTATAAGAGTTTACAAATTCAGTGTCCCCAGTTTCATCAGGGTCCTCTCACACGCCCCCATTCCAAGTTTCAGGGTCCCATTCTTCAGTCAATGCTCTCGCTTTGAGAGTAGACACCTGGTGAGGCTATGCATAGGTCAGCCACTTGCACAATAACAGCTTGTGTCTGTTTTTCCACAATTTCAGCTCTTTCTCCACAGGAGATAAGACTCTTACTCAGGGTAATCTTGGTAGATTTTAGACTCAGTATCTGCTTCTGAAGCTGGGAGATAGAATCCCTGAGTTCATTATTTTCTTTCATCACTTTGTCCAGTGAACTTAGGAGCAACCAACCAGCTTTATTATGTTCCTTGATTGTTCACATATGGTCAAAGGTATTATGTAGAGAGTCACCAAACTCCTTGCTTCTCATGAGCAATGAATCAGGAGTGTCAAATGCATTTATTTTGCATAACTGTCTAAACAGTTCATGCCAAGGGCTATCAGTGTTCTCCATACTATTAGTAGAGTCCTTAACATTTTTGTGTCTAATTATATTAAGAAGCCAACTCCAGAAACCCTAAAACCAATGAAAGAACTCCACCCTTAATATTCTGTTCCTCTAGAACCACTCCTGGTACAAAAATCTTTATTAGTCAGGGTTCTCTAGAGGGACAGAACTAATGAAACATATATATATGTGTTTATATATATATGATTTTATATATATATATATATGTGGGAGTTTATGAAGTATTAACTCACACTATCAGAAGGTCCAACAATAGGCTGTCTGCAGGCTGAGGAGGAAAGAAAGCCAGTCTAAATTCCAAAAATGAAGAACTTGGAGTCTGATGTTCAAGGGCAGAAAGCATCTAGCATGGGAGAAAGATGTAGGCTGGGAGGCTAGGCCCGTCTCTCTTTTCATATTTTTCTGCCTGCTTATATTCTAGCCTTGCTGGCAGCTGATTAGATTTCACCCACCCGGATTAAGGGTGGGTCTGCCTTACCCGGCCCACTGACTCAAATGTTAATCTCCTTTGGCAACACCCTCACAGAAACACCCAGAATCAATACTTTGTATCTTTCAGTACAATCAAGTTGACACTCAGTATTAACCATCACAGGGAGACATGAGACATCAATCAACATATGTAGGATGAATATTGGTTTGGTCTGGAATGGTGGGACAATTTAAAGTGGGAAGGGGGTTTCAAGGTCATAGGTAGATAAGAGACAAATGTTTGCATTCTTTTGAGTTTCTTATTAGCCTCTCCAATTGAGGCAATTAGAGATGCATTCATCTCAGTGAGCAGAGGGGTGACTTTGAATAGAATGAGGAGGCAGGTTTGCCCTAAGCAGTTCCCAGCTTGACTTTTCCCTTTAGCTTAGTGACTTTGGGGGCCTAGGATATTTTCCTTTCACAAATCAAGTGACTGTAAATTCATGCATTTATTTCTGGGCTTTCTATTCTCTTCCATTAGTCTATATGTCTGTTTTCATGCCAGTACTATAATGTTTTGATTACTATAGCTTTATAATTCATTTTGAAATTGGTAAGTATGATACCTCAACTTATTCTTTTTGCCTATGATTGACTGCTTTGGCTCTTTGAGGTCTTTAGTGATTCCATACAAGTTTTAGGTTATTTTTTCCTATTTCTATGAAAAAATGTTATCTGAATTTTGATAGTGATTGCATTGAATCCATAGATCACTTTGGATAGTGTGAACAATGGAATAGTTGATAGTCTGTAAATAAACTTATACATATTAATATTAATATATGGGCAACTGATTTTCAACAAGGATGACAAGATGATTTCATTGGGAAAGAGTACTCTTTTCAACAAATGATGTTGAAACAAATAAACATTCACATGTACAAGGATGTAATTGGTCCCCTATTCCCACGATAAACAAAACCTAATTCAAAATAAATAAAATACCTAAGAGTAGGGCAAAATTATAAAACCCTTATTCAAAAACTTAGAGGTAAAACTTTAACAGTTTGGATTAGGGGATGATTTTTTATGCTAACTGAAGTACAAGTGACAAAGGAAAAAATTAGATAAATTATATTTCATCAAAATTTTAAACTTTTTTGCATTAAAGAATACCATCAAGAAAATGAAACTATAACCCATAAAATAGAAAAAAATACTTGCAAATCATATATCTGATAAGTGACTAGAATAATTTTAAAACTCCTGCTATTCAATCATAAAAGGCAAATAGCCCTGTTTTTGCTTATTTATTAATTGATTTTTATAATTTCAGCTTTTATTTAAGAATCAAGGGGTACATGTACAGGTTTATTACATGGATATATTGCATGACGCTGTGATTTGGGTTACAAAATGAAAACCACTTCACTCCATAGGATGACCATAATCAATAAGTGTTGGAAAGAACGTAGAGAATTTGGAACATTCATACACATTTGGAGGAAATATAAATTGGTGCAGCTGCTTTGGAAAACAGTCTGGAAACTCCTTAAAAAGTTAAACTTAGAACTATCATGTCATCTAGCAATTCCATTCCTATAAAATATAAAAACATACATCTACACAAAACTTGTACACTAATGCTTATAGCAGCATTATTTATAATAGCTAAAAAGTGGTAACAACCCTAATGCTCATCAACTGATGAATAGATAAATAAGGTATGTCCATACTATGAAACATTATTTGTCAATAAAAGAAATGATGAATTGATACATGCTACAACATAAATGAACATTTAAAACATTATGGTAAGTGAAAGAAGCCAGCCAGAAAAAATGCATACTGTATGATTCCATTTGTATCAAATGTCCGGAGTAGGAAAATTTATAAATAGAAAGTAGATTGGTGGTTGCCTAGACCTGTAGATGAGGGATAAAGTAAAGGATATGGGGAGAAATAGTGAGTGACTGTTAATGGGTACAGGGTTTCCTTTTGAAGTGATGAAAATGTCCTGAAATTGATTATGGTAATTGTGGCACAACTCTGTGAATATACTAAAAACCATTGAATTGTGCACTTTAAATTATGTAAATTATATGGTATGTGAATTATATCTCAGTAAAGCTGTTTTTTATACAGTAAAAAAAAAATTGTTAACCTGATACTTCATTCTTTGAAATTGCCCAAGAAATTCTACATGACATAAACCAAAATTTAAGCTAATTTTATTCAAAATTGCTTATAAGCCTCAGAACAAGATGAATGTGGGCATAGGAGAGACATAAGGCTCTGCCAAGCAGAGAATTCTGAAGGTGATGAGAAGAAAAACGGAAGGGAAAGAGAATATGAGGAACACCATCCTGAAATCTGAAGGGAGATTCCGACAGAAACCAAGCATCATTTTTCTCTCCCTTTGGATCCCCTTCGTCTAGCATTCTTAAGAAACGAGAAAAGGAGTTGACTTATGTCTGCTTCTAAGTGGTCCGCTTGACTACTGATCCTTCAAATTGCATGTTCAACTCTGCTCCACTGCTCTTGGCCAGAGACCATTGCCTACTTTGCTTCTCTTTACAGCTTAAAACAAGAATTCCGTTCATTCTCAAATAAATGCTGCCACCTTTGCAAGGGTCTTTGTAGAGGTATATGTTTTGCTAGGGGGTGGGTGTTCCTTAGCTTGTGGGCCTGTCCAATCTCTATCTCTGTCTTCATGTGGCCTCTTCCTTTTTGTGTCTTCCCCTCTGTCTCTTATAAGGACACTAGTCATTGGATTTAGGGCTCACCCTAGTCCAGCATGAGCTCATCTAGAGATCATTACCTTAACATCTGCAAAGACATTTCATCCAAATAAGATTACATCATTAAGTGGATTATTGGAGGACATTATTCAACCCACTTCAGAGAGTGGATGAATACTTCCATTTTTGTCATCTCCTTGTTTTTCTCTATATATCACTACATAAAATTATATGGCTTAATCACATTTTGCTGAAAGTTTGGCAGAAATGAAAAGAAACTAGAGCACATAAGGAAGAAACAGCTATATGCTAAACATACTTTTCCTGTGCCAAATAAGAGTCTTTAAGAAATTAAACCATTCATAGCCATCATCTCATGAGTAATTTAGACTCTACCTTAAGTCCATGAGCCCTGTGGGAGGATTTCTTCTTCAAGCCTTGACAGTGTAGCTGTCCCTTCAGTACTCCAGGGGTTGGCTTCACCCCAAGGACCTTTCCCTTTCCCCACCAGCTAGCCCATGGGACCCAATCATTATTAACTATTTTCCTAGGTCTGAGTTATTTACTACTAGAGTAACACCATGGAAGTAACTCCAACAGGATGGTCCAAGGTGGGCTTGGGAAACCCCAGTCTGGCAGAATAAACTAGGCTAGGTGTAGCCCTCCATGCTCAGTTTCTTTTGAAATAATCTCACCATTGGGAGTTATAGCTATGCCCCTTTCTTTTTTCTAATTGTCTCACATTTCTCAAGGATAGTTTCTCAGAACAATAGTTTGCATTTTGTTAGGTACAGAAACCTCCAATACTAAGCCATATATCCTTTAATACAAGAGCCTGAGTAAGCTCTTAGAGAAAAGATCCCTTTTAAAATCATCTCTTGTGGGTAGTGGAGAGGAAGGGATGCTAGTGATGGTAGTAGTAGATAGTATTGGGGAGTAGAAGTGTAGTTTCATTATTTGGTTATACTACCAAAGCCACTTCTCATTATAGATCACTTGTAGATCACCATTCTTGTTTCAGACATAGATTTCTTCCACATTTTAAATAATATTCGTGTGCATATAGGCTCAGAAGAGTTACATTCATTCATTAAACCAAACCAACCACCTTTCTGCACAGCTAAAGAAAATAATATTGGCCAGCTTCTTACTCCTAGTTGCCCTGAAATATAAACAGAGCCAAACTTTAACTTATTGTGTCTATAATGCTAGAAATTTCTACCTTAAAAAGTTATCAGCAGAATCTTTCAGGGTACATCTTTCTAGGTTGTACCTAAGCTGTTTTCTATTGGGGTCAAGGAGCTCCTTGGCAATGCCTCTAATCCTTTATTCTTCCCTAAATTGCTTTTGGTATTTAATTTTCTGGGCCGAGTTTTATTGGCTTAGGCTTTATTCCCTGGAAATTTTTGTTATTGCTGTTGTTTAATTATGAAATATTTCATTCATACAAAAGTACAGAGACCTATAACAAACACCATGTGTTCACTCTTAAACTTAAATAAACGCATGCTTTGGAATTTTTTTATAAGTGAAATCTTACATTTGATTCATTTGAAGCCAGACAGGTGTAGATTTTTTTAACTTTTTTGTTGATGTTAGGATTTTAATACTTGGTTAAGAGAAATATTAAGAAGCACATAAATTTCTTCGGAAAGTGTTTTCCTTTTAAATGGCTAGGAAATGAATCCTTTACACAAGGCATTCCAGATGGATGAATCCTAGGCCCTCTTCTCGTCTCTTCACTTCTCTTCTCTTTCTTCTCTTCTCTTCTCTACTCTTCTCTTCTCTTCTCACTCTATATTACTTCCCTGCTTGATCTCATCCATGCCCATGGCTTAACTAATACTCCACTGATGACAGCTCCTGAGCTCATATCTTCATCTCAGATCTCTGCTTGGAGTTACAGACCTATACATCCAGCAGTTATCTTATCATGCCACAAAGTCTTCAATTTAACCCACATGACCCAACAAAACCATGATTTTCCTAACCTTTGCTTTTCTCTCTCTCAGCAAATGGCACCATCATTTATCAAATTAGGCATCTCAGACTTCTGGGATTTAACCTTGATAACTTCTTCTCCATCAACTTCTTATTTAAACAGTCAGCAAGTCCTCCTGATTGTACCTCCTCAATATGTATCAAATTCATTTACTTATCTCTTCCTCTGTGACCACTCAACTAGTCCCAACCATCATCATTTCTTATTCCAACTTCAGCAATAGCTTCCTAACTATTCTGCATGCATTTTTCCTGGGCCCCTCCAGCAGATTCTCTGCATCGTACCCAGAGTGAACTTTTCAAAACACCAGTCTGATTATATGACCTCCATCCTGCTGGATCATCATTCTTAAGATAAACAGAATGATGCATAGTGTGCATGATCTGGCCCAGCCTTTGTCTCTTGGCTTCATTTATTATGTCTCACTCTGTGCTCTAGCTTTGTAGGTTTTGAAAGCGTCACGCCTTCTTCCTCCAGATCCCTCGCACATGCTGTTCCCTCATCTTGAAGTGTCCTTCTGCCATTTATAAGGTAACTTCTATTCATCTCTCATATTTTAACTCACATATCACTTCTTTAGGGAAACTTCCCTAACCCTGCTCACCACCACCACCCCCCATTAATCTTGGCCACAGTTCTTTGTTAATAGCTTTTATTTAATTGTACTCTTTTCTTCCCTGGGCCTTTTCTCAGATGTAAAAATATACCCCAGCCCCTACCACTATATTGTAAACACCATGAAGACATGAATAAATAAGTGATTTTCAAGCTACATAATTTATAAGCAGCCTTGTCTGGATCTTGTGGAAACGTGATGGTATTAATAACAAAGTTATGGAATTTTGAGTTTTCATTGCTATAAATCTTCCCCTCCTGTTTTCAAAGGTGACATCAAGCCATAGGCTAATGTTCTCACTGGTATAATGAGATAAAGGGTAGGAACGCACCTGCCATAAGGTGCTTTATGAAAGATAGAATATTTTTGAGGTATATTAATGAAAGGGAAAGAGCTGTGAATTCAAATCCTGGGTCTTCCTCTTGAGTGTTCTTAGAGCTGGAGGCAGGTTGGACAACCCCCAGCCTTGGTTTCATCATCTGTAAAATAGCAATATGCTACTTCTAAGTTACTTCTAACAACTAGAGTTTATATATCCACAGTGCCTGTGCCATAAATGTCAGTAAATATTTACAGACTAAAGAAATAACTGAATAAACAAATAGATGAAGGAAAGTGAAGCACCCAGTGGAATCCTTGGTAAATAGCAAGTGCTCAATAAATTGTAATGATAGTAATAATATTATGAAATGGCTAAAAAAGATGCTTTCTTGTAAGAAAAAGGAAGCAGTGAAATAATTGAAAGTGTATGTGTTGGGGTAGAGATGGATGGAAATCCTAGACAGTCATCCACAGAAGGTGTTTCAGGGTCAGGTGCCTTGGCAAGTTGACTACTCAAATGCTAACAAGTGGGAAAACACATACAACCAGTTCCCTACCATACCATGTTACCTGGATGTCCATAGGAAAAAAAAAAATATATATATATATATATATATATATATATGAGTGAAGAAATACAGCCTCACAAAGAAAATGAAAGAATAAGCCAGAGAGAGGAGCAGAACCAGCAGAGGGGCATGTCAGAAAGGCAAAACAAGGAGGAAGTAGGCAACAGCATCAGACCTTCACAGAGTCAGTTCAGATAAAAATGAAGCATGTCATCCAAATCTAATGATAGAAATAAGAAGGTCATTGGCAACTTTGGCAAAAAGTTTTCAATAAAGTGGGATAGAAGGAAGACCAATTAAGCTGGATAGTGAAAAGGAAATGAGAAATACAGACAGTGAGCTTATATTTCTTCCTCCCTTCCTTCCTTCCTTCCTTTCTTCCGTCTTTCCTTCCTTCCTTCCTTTCCTTCCTTCCTTCCTTTACTTCCTTCCTTCTCTCTCTTTTCTTTTCTTTTCCTTCCTTCTTTCCCTCCCTCCCTCCTTCCTTCCTTTCTTTCTTCTTTCTTTCTTTCTGTCTTTCCTTCTTTCTTTCTCTTTCTTTCTTTCTTTCTTTCTTTCCTTTCTTTCTTCTTCGCTTTCTTTTTCTTTCCTTCTTTCTTTCTTTTTTTTTGACAGTGTCTTACTCTGTTGCCCAGGCTGGAGTACACTGGCATCATCATAGCTCACAGCAAGCTTAAACTCCCGGGCTCAAATGATCCTCCCACCTCAGCCTCCCAAGTAGCAGAGACTACAGGCACACACCACGCCCAGCTACTTTTATCTTTTATTTGTAGAGATGAAGTCTTGCTTTGTTGCCCAGGCTGGTGTCAAGCTCTGGCCTCAAGCTATCCTCCTGCCTCAGCCTCCCAAAGTACTGTGATTACAGGCATAAGCCATTGTGCCCAGCCATGAGTTTACATTATTCTTTGAAATGTGTCTAGAATTGGCAGAGCAGAGATTGGGTGAGGTAGTTGGAGGGGAAGACCAGGTTGACAGGTTTTTGGTTTCTTTTCTTCTTTTGTTTTTAGGTTAAAAGACAACATATTTGTGGTCTGAAAAAGACAACTAGAGAAAAGGGAGGTGTTCAATATGTTGGAGAGAGAGAGAATAATTAATAGGGTTGAAGCTGAGGAGGGGTCAGTGTCAACCCAGCCTTCATTAACCCACTGGTCCATATCCCCCATAGTTATATCCCCAAAAATAAAAATTTTAAATGCCTTTTTTAGTATCCTTTTCCCATTCACCCGTGTGGTCCTGGACCTTCTCACTTAGTCATGCGTTGCATTTACATTCTTGACCTCCTCCTGCATTCCTCTGACCTTTTGCTTTGCCTCTTATTTTCTTCACCCTTAGGACCTGATGATTGATTTAGCATCTTTGGCATCCGGCCACTGCTCTGCTTGGCCATACTGCTGCCTTCACCCTCAGCTGTTGCAACTCTTTTGGCCACTTTGTGTAACTGCCCTGCCAAGCCCTGCTTCCTGGCTGTCCAAAGAAAGAAGTGTTTCCTACAGGAGATCACAACAAAAGGATGAAATCTGGGGTGCAGGGGAAGGGTAGCTTCTGAAGCTGGAAAATAAAGAAGTAAGGAAGGGAGACTGTGGAATTTACCAGGGAGGGAAACTAATATTTCCTTTCATATAAGTTGGTACTATTCTGGCTTTTTACCATGATCATATATTATATTCAAAATAAAGCTCTTGTTTTTGAAACAAAAAAATATAAACAAAGGAAGGAAGGATGTTCATTTATTTAGATAATAGATACCTAGTGAACCCCTAGTAGACCTTGTACTGGGTCCTGGGGACACTGGTGACCAGGTTCCATTCCTGATCTCCTGGAGCAGGGGACACGAAAAGACATTAAGCAAATAATTACACATCTTTTTACATCAGTACAAATGTTGGGACTTTGCAAGAGTTCCACCCTGAAAGCTTCTGTTTTCACTGAAAGAGAGGAGGCAAGGTCATTTGTTCATAAAAGCAATGGAATTGAGTAGGGGACTTGAAAGAAATGATGAGGCTAGGAAAAGCAGCTATAGGAAAGGGGGCACCAGTCAGACTAAGAATATGTAACCAGAGCACAGCTGTGCATACTTTGCTTGAATGTCTCCAAGTTCAAATCCAAGAACTTGATATTTTAGGTTGATTCTATGTGTAACCTATTTGTTTTTAAAGAGTAGAGTCTTTTTCTTCCAGCATGTGTTAGTTAGCCCTGTCTTTATCACATCACCACCACCAATTGTCATTTGCAGAAGTATCTTCAACTCATCATAAATTTACTAGTAATAGCTAACTCATGTCTATAGAACTGTTAAGTGACAAGATAATATTTAGATTAAAAGCTATAGTTGCATTCTTATTAGAGACTTAATCAGATTTTAACATGCTCCTCACAGGGGCCATTTAGCCCTATTCTGCTGGGCTTTGGCAAGCACTGAATGATTGCCCTCCTAGGGCAGAGGTACTGCAGCCCTGGTTAAGCATTGAAAAGATGATATTACCAATAAGTTGACTCTAATTGTAAACAACATATTTAAACAATTACATCTTAATTAAATTCTTATAAATTATAAGTGCCTCAGAACTTTCTTTCTTAATCTCAAATGCATGTTTCTTAAAATCATTCACTATTTTATGAGAATATATTTGCTGAATATTAGAAAAAAGAGTTAAAAATAAAAGGCATTTCTAAAATTTTTTCTTGTATGAAATATGCTTTCTTTTATTTATAAATCATTGGTTTTATCTTCTATATAGTGAATTTCTAAAGGGATTTAATGTTTGATATTGAATTGTATACTAAAATAAGGTTGTTTTAGACATAAAAGAGTAACAGCAACAATAACAAAGAAGTTGTGACAAAGAGGATTGTTGTACTGAGATTTGATGGATAACTTTGATTCATTTGTTTTATGTGTATCTTGCCTACATCTGTCCATTCATCTCACCATTTCTATCAACTATCTACCTGGTGCAGTTTGATATGTTATAAGCTGTGAGAAGTGAGACAAGGAAAGAACTTTTTGCTGAATTTTTTAGAACATCTGTGATGTGTTGTACATATTAGGCAAATAATAAATACTTACTGAATTAAATTAAATTTAACCAGGATCAAGTTCAGATGGCTTACGGTTGAGATACATGTTGCTATGGCAGCAGGAAGAAAATGATGGAAAAGAAGAAAACAAAAAGCAAGAAAAAGTGAGAAATCAAAGGACAACATTTTCAAGGATGAAGAGTGCTACATCTATTCATTATACATTGTAGATATAGATAATAACAATAGTAATAATGTGGTCAAATTTTAATAAATAAAAAATTGAGTTAAGCTTAATCATACATAGTGCTTTTATTGAAAACTAACACCTCAACAATCACATCTCTTCATGTCACACAGTCATCCATGTGAATGGAACAAATATCAGTAGCCTGAAGGACAATACAATTATTGCAAAAATAATTTGCTTTTTCAGTTAAGGTCCTCACTTATACATGGGTTGGTTCTTTTTTAGCTTTGTGCTGATTTCCTGTAGTCTTCCATTGCATTTAGGCACTAACTCATTTGTCTATGTTTCAGAATGCCAGCGTAAAGGTGAAATAAAGGTAAAACAACAACAATAACAAAAAGGACAGGAAAGAACAACAACAAATAAATGGTGTGGCAATTCTTAGCTGTTCAGTGTCTGACTCCCCTTTCAGTGTTTGGGGAATTGCTCACCTTATGAGTCTCAGTGGGAGACTCAGGCTCTGCTCATTATTAAAGTTGAATACATCAGGAACTTGCTTTCCCCACCTTGTTTGCAGTTAAGCCCAACACACCCCACCGTGGAGCCACAGAGATATGGAGGATGCACTCTCTGGCAACAGTGGAGGATGCACTCTCTGGCAGTAGTAGTGGGAACGCCAGTGGTGTGAGCACTGCATGGCTTCCCGAAACAAGCCCTCTGGTGTGACGAGACAGTTTCTACATTCTGTAACTCTATACTGGATTCTCCACCCAAAGCCACAGCTTGTCTGTCAAGGGCCTTCATATGAAAAAGGAAAAGGTGCCCCTGGCAGATGCAGGCTCTGTCAGCACATGGTGGCTCTGCCTCTGTCCTTCCTGTGGGCCCCTCAGCTGCCCATGCTTCTTTTCTTAAATAGATTTTCTGCCAAAATCAGCTAACATTTGCGTTACTGCTTACAACTAACAACCTTACTGATACACATAATAAGGCTACCACACCTGCCCAGCCATATCCATAAACCTTTCCATTATGCTATGTGCCTTTTAACATACAGTATAATTCTTTTATATGGATACCGCCTTATTATCTGGAATTATCACAGCACCCAGTGGATGCCCCAAAACAACACAACTAGCAAAGATTCAATATTCAGTTAGAGTAAATAATTCATTTACTTATACTTTAAAACATTTATATGCAATTTTAAATGACACAACTTCAAGTATTTAAATGAGATAGTTTAAAAGTTAAATTCCTTCACTATGTGTGTGATGGCTACACTAAAACCCCAGACTTCACTACAGCACAATATATGTATGTAATAAATCTGCACTTGTACCCTCTAAATCTATAAAAGATTTTTGTATTTTAAGGAAATTTTTAAAATAAAATAAAAGTTAAGTATCTTTTGCCTTGGGGAAGGAGGAAAGAATAATAGTTATCAGCTAGTATATGGGGAACTATTTAAAGTACATGTAACAAAAAATGGTTCATGGGAAGAGTAAACTGGACCACCTGGAGACCCTACTCTCCTGTCCATTGAGAGACTACAATCCTCATGCTTGCTGTGCATTTTCTCCAATACCATCATGGCCACTGTAGCTGCCACTACTAGTGAAGACACACCAGGATCCCACTGTAATCACTGGGCTTATTTCAAAGACACAGCTGCAAATTTCACCACCCCAAATCAACAGAATATGCATTCTTTGCAGTGCGACATGGCACTTATTCTAAAATCAACCACATAATTGGAAGTAAAACACTCCTCAGCAAATGCAAAAGAACGAAAATCATAACAATCTCTCAAAACATAGGGCAATCAAATTAGAACTCAGAATTAAGAAACTCACTCAAAACCACACAATTACATGGAAACTGAACAACCTGCTTCTGAATGACTACTGGGTAAATAATGAAATTAAGGCAGAAATAATGAAGTTCTTTTAAACCAATGAGAACAAAGAGACAATGTACCAGAATCTCTGGGACACAGCTAAAGCAGTGCTAAAAGGGAAATTTATAGGAATGAATGCCCACATCAGAAAGGTAGAGAGATCTCAAATCAATACTCTAACACCACAATTAAAAGAGCTAGAGAGGCAAGGGCAAACTAATCCAAAAGCTAGCAGAAGACAAGAAATTACTAAGATCAGAGCAGAATTGAAGGAGATAGAGACATGAAAAACCCTCCAAAAAAATCAATGAATCCAGGAGCTGGTTTTTTGAAAAAATTAACAAAATAGATAGACAGTGAGCTAGAATAATAAAAAAGAAAACAGAGAGAAAAATCAAATAGACACAATAAAAAATGATAAAGGGGATATCATCACTGAACCCACAGAAATAAAAACTGCCATCGGGGAATACTATAAACAATCACCTCTATGCAAATAAACTAGAGAATCTAGAAGAAATGGATAAATTCCTGGACACATAAACCCTCCTAAGACTAAACCAGGAAGAAGTCGAATCTCTGGATGGACCAATAACAAGTTCTGAAATTGAGGCAGTAATTAATAGCCTACCAGCCAAAAAAAGAAAAGCCCAGGACCAGAGCGATTCACAGCCAAATTCTACCAGAGGTACAAAGAGACACTAGTACCATTACTTCTGAAACTATTCCAAACAATTGAAAAGGGGGGACTCCTCTGTAACTCATTTTATGAAGCCAGCATCATCCTGATACCAAAACCAGGCAGAGACAGAACAAAAAAAGAAAACTTCAGGCCAATATCCCTGATGAACATTGATGCGAAAATCCTCAATGAAATACTGGCAAACTGAATCCAGCAGCATATCAAAAAACATATCTACCACGATCAAGTCAGCTTCATCCCTGGGATGCAAGGCTGGTTCAACACATGCAAATCAATAAACTTAATCCATCACGTAAACAGAACCAATGACAAAAAACACATGATTATCTCAATAGATGAAGAAAGACCTTTGATAAAATTCAAAATCCCTTCATGCCGAAAACTGTCAATAAACTAGATATTGATGGAACATATGTCAAGATAATAAGAGCTATTTATGACAAACCCACAGCCAATATCATATTGGATGAGCAAAAGCAGGAAGCATTCCCTTTGAAAACTGGTACAAGACAAGGATGCCCTCTCTCACCACTCCTATTCAACACAGTATTGGAAGATCTGGCCAGGGCAATCAGGCAAGAGAAAGAAATAAAGCGTATTCAAATAGAAAGAGAGATAGTCAAATTGTCCCTGCTTGCAGGCGACATGATTTTATATTTAGAAAACCACATCATCTTAGCCCAAAAACCCGTTAAACTGATAAGCAACTTCAGCAAAGTCTCTGGATACAAAATCAATGTGCAAAAATCACAAGCATTCCTTTACATCAACAATAGAGAAGCAGAGAGCCAAATCATGAATGAACTCCCATTCACAATTGCTACAAAGAGAATAAAATACCTAGGAATACAGCTAACAAGGGATGTGAAGGACTTCTTCAAGGAGAACTACAAACCACTGCTCAAGGAAATAAGATAGGACACAAACAAATGGAAAAACATTCCATCCTCATTGACAGGAAGAATCAATATTGTGAAAATGGCCATACTGCCCAAAGAAATTTATAAATTCAATGCTATTCCCATCAAGCTAACATTGTCATTCTTCACATAATTTAAATGAATACTTTAAATTTCATATGGAATCAAAGAAGGCCCCATATAGCCAAGACAATCTTAAGCAAAAAGAACAAAGCTGGAGCCATTATGCTACCTGACTTCAAACTATACTAGAAGGCTACAGTAACCAAAACAGCATGGTACTGGTACCAAAACAGATATACAGACCAAAGAAACAGAACAGAGACCTCAGAAATAACACCACACATCTACAGCCATCTGGTCTTCGACAAGCCTGACAAAAACAGGCAAAGGGGAAAGGATCTCCTATTCAATAAATGGTGCTGGGAAAACTGGCTAGCCATATGCAGAAAACTGAAACTGGACCTCTTCCTTACACCTTATACAAAAATTAACTCAAGATGGATTAAAGACTTAAATGTAAAACCCAAAACCATAAAAACCCTAGAAGAAAACCTAGGCAATACCATTCAGGACATAGGCATGGACAAAGACTTCATGACGAAAATGCCAAAAGCAACTGCAACAAAAGCCAAAATTGACAAATGAGATCTAATTAAACTAAAGAGCTTCTATACAGCAAAACAAACTATAATCAGAGTGAAGAGGCAACCTACAGAATGGGAGAATATTTTTGCAATCTACCCATCTGACAAAGATCTAATATCCAGAATTTACAGGAACTTAACAAATTTACAAGAAAAAAGCAAACAACCCTATCAAAAAGTGGATAAAGGATATGAACAGATACTTCTCAAAAGAAGACATTTATGAGGCCAACAAACATATGAAAAAAAAAAACTCAACATCACTGATTATTAGAGAAATGCAAATCAAAACCACAATGAGATACCATCTCACGCTAGTCAGAATGGCAATTATTAAAAAGTCAAGAAACAATAGATGCCAGTGAGGTTGTGGAGAAATAGGAACACTTTTACACTGCTTGTGGGAATGTAAATTGGTTCAACCATTATGGAAGACAGTATGGCAATTCCTCAAGGATCTAGAACCAGAAATACCATTTGACTCAGCAATTCTATTACTCGGTATATACCCAAAGGAATATAAATCATTCTACTATAAAGACACATACACACGTATGTTTATTGCAGCGCTATTTATAATAGCAAAGTCATGGAACCAAGCCAAATCCCCATCACTGATAGACTGGATAAAGAAAAAGTGGTACATATATACCATGGAATACTTTGAAGCCATAAAAAGGAATGTGATCATGTCCTTTGCAGGGACATGGATGAAGCTGGAAGCTATCATCCTCAGCAAACTAACACAGGAACAGAAAACCAAACATCGCATGTTCTCACTCATAAGTGGAAGTTGAACAATGAGAACACATGGACACACGGAGGGGAACATCACCTACCAGGGCCTGTTGGGGAGTGGGGGACGAGGGGAGGGAACTTAAAGGATGGGTCAATAGGTGCAGCAAACCACCATTGCACATGTAAACCTATGTAACAAACCTGCACGTTCTGTGCATGTATCCCAGAACTTAAAATTAAAAAAAAATAGAAACTATTACTCATGAGCTCCTCCGTCTTAGCACCAGCAAGTCTACAACTATTCCTGTATCTATACCCGTCTTTTTCATCCTTCCTGCTAATGGGCAAGCGTCTCCATAGTTATCAAAGGCAGGTACCTACTTGAATGCTCAGATGTCTTTTCCTTCTCCCCAAAAGAACTCAATCTACTGATTGTCACAATGTCCTGTCCCTGGCCCTTGTCTTTACCTTCCCTTTTATCTAGGTCCTTCCCACATTAAGAAGAAGCTCTAGTTTCTCCCAACTTATTGATGTGTTATCAATATTCTCTCCCAGTTTGTAGACTGTCATTTTACTCTCTTTGTGGTATCTTTTGATGAGCAGAAGTTCTTAACTGTAATGTAATTCAATTAATCTATGTTTTATGGCTTATGTTCTTTGTACCATATTTACAAAATTCTTTCCTACCCTAAAGTCATAAAGATATACTCTTTTATTAACTTTTTAAAGTTTAGTAATTTTGGCTTTCTCATTTAGATTTTAAATCCAGCTATGATTATTTTTACATGGCATGAGAAAGACATACAACTTTACATTTGTCTAAAAGGATAACCAATTTCTGAGAATGATTTTTTTAAAAAAAATCTTTAATTCCCCATGGACCTGCAGCATGACCCCACCCCATCTTGTTTCAAAGGCCCATATATTGATGAGTGTGTTTTGGGAGTCTAATTTGTTCTATTGGTCTATTTTCGATGCCTGCACCAACACCTTATAGTCTTAATCAATTTAGCTTGATAATGCCTTATATGAAGCATGTACAATTGGGGTGTCACTCTCACCTATTTTTTCTTCAAAAGCGTCTTGGTTATTTTTGGTTCTTTGAATATATAAAATAAAAAAGAGCATCAATTTTCAAAGAAAAATACCTGTTGGGGATACAGTTACTACTTTATTGAATCAACTTAGGGGAAATAGACCTTTTTAAAATATTGCATTTTCTTTTTTTATTATTATTATTATACTTCAAGTTTTAGGGTACATGTGCACAATGTGCAGATTTGTTACATATGTATACATGTGCCATGTTGGTGTACTGCACCCATTAACTCGTCATTTAGCATTTTCTAACCTGGTCTGGCTTTCCATGTCATTAGATTGCCATTCAGAAAAGTTTTATGTTTCTCAAGAAAGGTATTGCATATCTCCTGTTATATTTATTATTAAGTACTTGTTTTAATGCTACTTTAAATAATCTCTTTAATTTTATTTTTCAACTACTGCTGGCATGTGAGATGCATACTGATATTTATTTAATTTTGTTTCCAAATCTCTTGCTAATTCTTCTAATTTATCTAAATAATCTTTTTTAGTTTTTATGCAAAAACATTATTTGCAAGTAATTTCAATTTTGTTTCTTCCTTTCTAATCATTTTAATTTTATCTTCTTATCTTTGCCTTTTTTGCATATAGGCATGCTAATTGTCAAATAAAGTGGGCTGTGTTGTAAGTAGATGTATTAAACAAATTCCACCGTTATATGTGTCAATTTGCGATAATTCATTGGTAATAAGTGAAGAAGTAAATATGTGATGAAGAAAGTCCAAAAGAACTATTAAATACCATGTTAATGAAGATATCTATGATGTTGCAATGCTATATCATCTTGATACCAGTAAGTAAACTTTACAGAATTATCAAATTGTGCCTCATTAAAAATACCCTTTAAAGATTGCCCATTGGCAAAATTTTGACTAACATATCTGATTACCTTGAGCTAGCAAGCAAAGCTTTGATGTTAGTAACATCGTTTTATACAAATCATTTGTGAACAGGCATTTGTACAGACTGCATCTTTTAACTACTAAATCAAGCTTTGACAATTTAGTTTTCACAAACATCTTCCATACAGTTTATTTATGTTCTAAATTTTAGTTATATTTTTCCTAGGGCTTACTTTGTAAGTTTATTTGGTTTTATAGTGGTATAAGAACAATAATTATACTTTGTTTATGCCTAGTGTTGTTACACATTTAAGTAACTATAATTAAAATAGTTTAAATAAATCCTGAAAACCTATGGGGATGTTTTCCTTTGAGATCATCTGTTATTTTATTACTTATATTTGAGAAATTCTGTTCTTATGAGCTAGGAAACTCTACTTGGTTCCACTTTGGAGAATCCTGGCTTCCCTGGTCTTCCTAAACGTGGAAAAAAAATTTCCAGTTACCTTCTTACATTGGGTGGAGATATTTCACTACATCATTTTCACCCTGTAAGGGCTACTGAGTGATCTTTTTAAAATGGCCATCTGATTCTAACCTTTGACTACTTAAAAGTATTCAGTAATTTTCCTTTAATTTTAATATAAAGTTCAAAATTTTTAACATGACTCAGAATACTCAATAATTTGATTCCTACCTCCCTCTCTAAATTCATTTTTGCAAACTATTTCTTCCCCAGTTCACTTTATCTCAATAAATAAAAAACTCCAAGACCAAAAGTCTTGGAGTCACCCTTTCCTCCCAATCATACACCACATTAGCAAATTTTTCAGGCTCTACCTTCAAAATATATATATTTCCATACCATTATCTTGTCCATGCCACCATCTTTGTTAGAATTTTGCAATAATTTATTAATTAATGCCCTTATTCCTGTATTTGTTTTCTGTTGCCACTGTAACAAATTATCACAAACTCAGCAACTTAAAATAGCACTAATTATTATCTCACAGTTCCATACCAGTCCAATAGGCTTGGCTGGCTTTCTGCTCTGGATCTCACAAAGTTAAAAGTGTCAAGACAGGATTGTGTTTCTTTCTGGAGGTTTGGGGGATGAATCTATTTCCAAGCTCATTCAAGTTGTTGGCAGAATTCAGCTCCACCTGAATATAAGATTGAAGTCCCCAATTCCTTGTTGACTGTTTGCTGGGGGTTGTTCTCAACTTCTAAAGATCATCTGTACTCCTCAGCTCATTGGCCCTCTTTTCTCTCAAATCTCTCTGACCTTCCCTTTGCCTCATCTCTCCCCAGCCTTTCTCTTGTTCCGCCTCTCTTTTTCTCTTTCCGGACAGAGAAGTTTCTCCATCTTCAAGGGCCCAAGTGATTAGATTGGACCCATCCAGATAATTCAGGATAGTTCCCTATTTTAAAGTCAGCTAATTGATAACTTTAATTCCAGGAGGACCTACATTCTTGTTTGACTCAATAACCAAGGGACAGAAATCTTGTGGGGAGAGAATTCTGCCTACCACAGCACTCCTCTAATCTATTTTCACCACAGCAACTGCAATGGTCTTTAAAGAATATTGATGCCTGTTTCTGTCAATTGTCTGCTCAAAACTGTCCACGGACTTCCCATCTCATTCAGATTAAGAGACAAAACCGTCAGGAAGGTCTATAAAGTCTTACATAGGATGTCGTGTGCTCTCTCTCTCTCTCTCTCTCACACACACACAATACCTGTCTGATTTTATTTCCCCTCACTCCTTACTCATCTCCAGCCACACTCGTCTCTGCTTCTCCTCAAACTTGCAAGCCATTCAATGCATCAGGTCTTTGCACTTACAAATATCCTCATGGTTCTTCTCTTTACCTCCCTCTATGCCTCTGCTCAGAAGTTGCTTTATCGGTGAGGTAAAGCCCCTTGCTCCCTGTAGTTCCTCACCCCATACATCTTTTTTTCTCTGCAAACTCTTAAAAACCATCTGAATATTCTACTTGTTTAGGTGGTGCTTGTTTGAGTAAAACCAGACCACAAAAATGTTTTAAGTCCCAGTATTAATTAGTTAAATATTATCTTCATAAGCAAGATAAAACCATTGAGCCTATAATCTATTTCTAGGTGGGTTTACGAGAAAATAATCCTATGGGAAGTAAACTTCTGCTCCTAATGCAATAGTCCTGGGGCAGATACACCACTAATGAGGAGGTCCTACTCTGATGAATGCATATGCGGTGAGACCTGAGCCCTGGACAGGTTGGGGTTGCCGTTGGATCTAGCTTGCTGCTTCAGATGATGCTTTGAGGCTGCCTTATTCCCTGTTCACCTCTCTCTGGACAAAAGGGCAGGAGTGAAGATTTAGCATCAGTCAAGCCTTGTTGCAAGAAGATGCTCTAATCCTACAGTTGTCCCAGCCACAGCCATGTCAAGGGAGACTGTGGATTCTGAGAATATACTACCTTAGAGTTAAAAAGGAGGTTAGGTAGGGGAGATGGTAGCTGCTTGGTCTTCTTTCTAAGTTTTCTTTATTGTTCACTGTTCCCTTTCAGTAGGCCCTTCTTCCTTTTGTAAGGGCCTGGTACAGAGAGCTCAAGTTGATCTGACAGTGTGAGTGGATTGCAATGGTCATGTTTAATACCTCTCAGCTAATGAAGAAGATATACAGATCAACTTGTGCAAAAATTAAAGGAAATAACTAGTGACATTTGTGAAGATATTTTTCTGCTTACAATATTATAGAAGCTGTATAAATGATTCTACTAATTTTTTAGAGTCTATTCCATAAACCAGAAACTATCCAGTAAGCTAGAGATAAGCAGGACTCATAAAGAGCGTACCTTTTTAAACAGGAATGATTAGTTTCACAGAAAGAAAAATAAAAATGTATTTGTTCAATTCATACATTCAACAGACATTTAAAATGATCAACATTTGACTTTTCTGAATGGTCCAAAAGAGAATGTTGAATTGAATAACCCCTTCTGTGTGTTCCCCAGGCTTTGTGGATTTCTACAATGCTGTGAGCAATTGCACATCCCAGTCAAAGCCAAGGAGACAAAACCACTGTGTGGTGAGGGCTAATGATTTGCCATAGGACTTTAGATGTGGTTTTCTGGTCTATCTGGGCTCGATTCCCTCATCTCTAAGAGAGGGTAAACATTTCTCACCAAGGGTTTTGAGAAACAATTGATGAGCTAATTGTACAAAACTTTGCTAAAATACGATGCCACACAAGGGCTCAATAATAAAGGCCACTTTATAGTTACAGAATGTTTTGAAGGTTGATCAGAGAGGGTGTGGATGATGTCAGTTTGGGAGCTAATATTTTCTTTAGATTTTGTTTTCTTTTCTTGTGGTGCTGTGAGGAGGGCTGCACATCTCCAGAGTTAGTCACTTAGGTCTGGGCTTCCTGTGTGTTGGGCATTTTGACAGCAATGGAATGATGGAAATGAATAGTTATTGACTTCAAGGAGCTTAGAGAATGGGGGAGGCAGAAAAATGGGCACTTGCAATTGCCTGCAGCAAATGCTTCCAGAGTGTAGATGTCAGTGCTATGGAATACACAGGAGAACCATAGCAAAGCAGCTAAATCTGAAAGAATCTGTACAGGGAGAAATGGATAGAAGAAAATGGTCCCAGGATTGAAGAGAGATGTTCCCATCTGGCTGAAGTGCAGAGGGCACAAGGAGGAGCAGCAGCTGTAGTGGAAGGCTCATCCATGTTATGGATTTCTACCTAAGCTTTTCCTAAGGGCAGGGGGAAACCATTGAAAAGTTTGAGATAGGAAAGCAACATAATTAGATTTGTGTTTTAAAAGACCACTCTATAAAGGTGTTCTAAAAGCTCATGGTGTTATTTACATTATATTTACACTGAAAAGTCACTATGAATAATTTTGTTAATAAAAGAAAAAACTTGACAAATAGGATTTTGCTCTGTGAAAGTTCATGTGCAGGGGATGAAAAGACAAGCTATGGAGTGTGAGAAAATATTTGCAAACCTCATACCCAACAAAGGATCAGTATGTGGAATATATAATAAACTCTCAAAACTTAACAGTAAAAACAACAAAAAAAATTCAATTAGAAAATGGACAAAAGATGTGAACAGCTATTTCACAGAGGAGGATTATAGATGGCAAATATGCACATGAAAAGATGTTCAATATCTTTATCCGTCAAGGAAACATAAATTAAGCCCACAAGGAGATATCACTACATACCTATCAGAATGGCTAAAAGAGTAACAACACCAAATGCTGGTAAGGACATGGAGAAACTGGATCATCCATACTTTACTGTGGAATGTAAATGGTAGAGCTACTCTGAAAAACAGCTTGGTAGTTTCTTATAAAGCTAAATATGCAACTACATAACACTTAGTAATTGCATTCTTGGATATTTACCCCCAGAGAAATGAAAACATACATTCACACACCAAAAAAAAAAAAAACTGTACAGGAATGTTCACAGCAACATTATTTATAAGCCAAAAATCAAAATAAATCTAGATGCCCTTCAACAGGAATGGTTGAACAAACTGTGGTACATACCACAGAATACTTCTCCACAATAAAAAGGAGCAAACTATTGATGTACACAGCTTGGATCCATCTCTAGGGAATAATGCTGACTGAAAAAGCCAGTCCCAAAAGGTTGCATACTGTATGATTCCATTTATGTGACATTTTTGAAATGACAAAGTTCTTGAAATGAAAAACAGATTAGTTGTTGCCAGGAGTTAGGGATGAAGAAGGTGGGGGCTGTGCAGGAGGGAGGTAGGTATACTTGTAAGTGGACAAACCGAAGGATTCTTGCAGTATTGAAAGTTGACTGGTGGTGGGTATGTGAAACCACAGGTGATAAGCCTGTATAGCACTTAATACACTCACACATATATTCACAAGTATACACACTCACACATACACACATGCAAATGACTATAAGTAGAGCTGGAAAAATCTGATGAAAATAGATGTGCCATGTCAATGTTAATAACATTATTAGACTATAGCTTTGCAAAATCTTCCCATTGGGGGAACTGGGGAAAGTGTACAGGCAATCTTCTTGTGTTACTTTTTATACTGCATGTGAATCTACAATTATCACACTAAAAATTTCAATAAAAAAAGGTCACTCTGACTGTCATGTAGAGACGAGATCGAAGTCAGTGGTTTTCACATGTTAGTGCTTGGAGGGCTTGTTAACCACAGATCGCTGGGCTTTACCTCCAGAATTGCTTATTCAGCTGGTCTGGGTAGGACCTGAGAATTTGCCTTTCTTGCAAGTTACCAGGTGATGCAGATACTTCTGGCTGGGGAACCATTCTTTGATATCCACTAAATTAGAGTCATTGTAGCTTTCCCTTGACCTCCATTTATTTCAAAGGGGAAAACAGAGCATCTACTTGTTCCTTGGTGTTTCTTTCACAAAGTCTTTAAAGACTGCCCATGCCTTTGTCTTTTTTTTATTATTATTATACTTTAAGTTTTAGGGTACATGTGCACAATGTGCAGGTTTGTTACATATGTATGCATGTGCCATGTTGGTGTGCTGCACCCATTAACTCGTCATTTACATTAGGTATATCTCCTAATGCTAACCCTCCCGCCTCCCCCTACCCCACAACAGGCCCCGGTGTGTGATGTTCCCCTTCCTGTGTCCATGTGTTCTCATTGTTCAATTCCGACCTATGAGTGAGAACATGCAGTGTTTGGTTTTTTGTCCTTGCAATAGTTTGCTGAGAATGATGGTTTCCAGCTTCATCCATGTCTCTACAAAGGACATGAACTCATCATTTTTTATGGCTGCATAGTATTCCATGGTGTATATATGCCACATTTTCTTAATCCAGTCTATCATTGTTGGACATTTGGGTTGGTTCCAAGTCTTTGCTATTGTGAATAGTGCCACCATAAACATATGTGTGCATATGTCTTTATAGCAGCATGATTTATAATCCTTTGGGTATATGCCCAGTAATAGGATGGCTGGGTCAAATGGTATTTCTAGTTCTAGATCCCTGAGGAATCGCCACACTGACTTCCACAATGGTTGAACTAGTTTACGTCCCACCAACAGTGTAAAAGTGTTCCTATTTCTCCACATCCTCTCCAGCACCTGTTGTTTCCTGACTTTTTAATGATCGCCATTCTAACTGGTGTGAGATGATATCTCATTGTGGTTTTGATTTGCATTTCTCTGATGGCCAGTGATGATGAGCATTTTTTCATGTGTTTTTTGGCTGCATAAATGTCTTCTTTTGAGAAGTGTCTGTTCATGTCCTTTGCCCAATTTTTGACGGGGTTGTTTGTTTTTTTCTTGTAAATTTGTTTGAGTTCATTGTAGATTCTGGATATTAGCCCTTTGTCAGATGAGTAGGTTGCAAAAATTTTCTCCCATTCTGTAGGTTGCCTGTGCATTCTGATGGTGGTTTCTTTTGCTGTGCAGAAGCTCTTTAGTTTAATTCGATCCCATTTGTCAATTTTGCCTTTTGTTGCCATTGCTTTTGGTATTTTAGACGTGAAGTGCTTGCCCATGCCTATGTCCTGAATGGTATTGCCTAGGTTTTCTTCTAGGGTTTCTATGGTTTTAGGTAATTTATAGATTCAATGCCATCCCCATCAAGCTACCAAGGACTTTCTTTACAGAATTGGAAAAAACTACTTTAAAGTTCATATGGAACCAAAAAAGAGCCTGCATTGCCAAGTCAATCCTAAGCCAAAAGAACAAAGCTGGAGGCATCACGCTACCTGACTTCAAACTATACTACAAGGCTACAGTAACCAAAACAGCATGGTACTGGTACCAAAACAGAGATATAGAACAATGGAACAGAACAGAGCCCTCAGAAATAATGCCACATATCTACAACTATCTGATCTTTGACAAACCTGACAAAAACAAGCAATGGGGAAAGGATTCCCTATTTAATACATGGTGCTGGGAAAACTGGCTAGCCATATGTAGAAAGCTGAAACTGGATCCCTTCCTTACACTTTACACAAAAATTAATTCAAGATGGATTAAAGACTTATGTGTTAGGCCTTTGTCTTTTAGGACAGCCTTGAAGTATCTGGTTAGAGCAGTAGTTCTCAAAGTGTGGCCCTCAGGCAGGTGGCATCAGCAACACTAGAGAACTTGCTAGAAATATACATTTTGGGGGTCCACCTTAGACTTGGTGAATAAGGAGCTGTCAGGGTGAGGCCCCAGCAAACTGTGTTTTAAGAAGCACACCAGATGATTCTGATGTATGCTAAAGTTTAAGGACCATTATATTAGAGGAAGACAGGAAGACATTAGGAAGCCAGTTAGGAATTTTATTTTATTTACAGTATTAACAAGTAGGTGGGTCCACCAAGAGACACCTAATTTTGAAACAGGATGTAGCAAAGGAAAAACTGAGGTGAGGTCTCCACAGGGTAGTGGTTATTGACTTCTAGTCTCTAACCTGCAGATGCAGATGGCAACACTAACTTACCTCCTTCACAGCAGGTGCTATTCTAATTAACCAATAAAGATATTTTAAAGCACATAGGAAGAAGAAAGCCCAAGATTAACACTAAGTGGCAATTAGTGGTATTAGGCAATGCCTATTATCTGCTCATAAACATATCAACACATTGATCTTAGAAGGAAATAAAACCAGACAGTGTTTGTGAACTGCCAGGCTTTCAGGGGCATCTTATTTATACGAGTCACAGAATCAATTGACCCTTGAACAATTATACTTCACATTGGTTAATTCTACCATCCTAGAATTTAATCTTTCAGCTGCCTATTGAAGCCCTACTCTGGTTTTTTCATCATGTCACTGTGAGGTTTCTGGAAGTTGAGAGCAGTATCTAATTTCTTGGCCCCCTTTTATTCCTAGCTATGATTTTAGGCCCTGCTGTCAACATTCAGAGAAGAAGTAAGTCACTGAGGACCACAGCTCAGGGTGCTGAGTGTGTGTGTTTAATACCAGTTCCACGCACATGAGTCATCCCAGCTCTATTTGTGGAAAGGGGCAGAAGATTGCCAGATGATCTTCAGCACTTGCCTTGGCTCCATAGTTATCTAAGAGGATGTTAAATTGGAATAATTCTACTCATTTATTGCTCTGCTTGCAAATTAACCAGGAAAATGTCAAAAATTATATTTTTTTTTAAAAAAAACAGTGTTAGGGGAACATTGGCACCTCTTGAAAACTCTCCTGACAGTGCACGGTGGCTCACACCTGTAATCCCAGCACTTTGGGAGGCCGAGGCGGGCAGATCACTTGAGGTCAACAGTTCAAGACCAGCCTGACCAACATGGTGAAACCCCATCTCTACTAAAATACAAAAATTAGCTGGGTGTGGTGGTGCGCACCATGTAATCCCAGCTACTCGGGAGGCTGAGGCAGGAGAATTGCTTGAACTTGGGAAGTGGAGGTTGCAATGAGCTGAGATCGCACCACTGCACACCAGCCTGGGCAACAGAGTGAGACTCTGTCTCCAGAAAATAAAAAAAAAAGAAAAGAAAAAGAAAAGTCTCCTACGGTTTTCTGAAATTCTCACCAACTTCTGACTTCATGAAGAGATAGTGTGGTATAGAGGAAACAATCTGGTTGTTGAACTCAAACAGATTTAGTGTAAGGTATATGGATGTGCTTTGGTCAAGGAATATGCTGAAGCAGATATCCAGGCGTGCATGACTAAGTGAGTTTGGTGCACAGTTTCATACTTGACTCTGAGCCACTATTGTCTGCAAAAGGTATAATTGCCCTGCTAATGCTGTACAGGGGCGCTTGGGGCTCAGCTCAGCTCAACATGGCTTGGAATTGCAGGCGCACTGGCACCCAGAGAAAGAGAGAGCCAAAGCTGTCCGTCTGCAAGAGAGAGCAAGGACACAGTTCAGCTTGCTCACGCCCAGAGAAAGAGTTAAGCTGCTGACTCTGAAGGCAAGAGAGAGCTGCTGACCCTGAAGGCAAGAGAGAGCCGGCCACACAGTGGTGTGTGGGAGCCACCGGCTCAGGCAGCCAAGACAGGGAGGACAGTGTAAGCAGCTAGTGTAAGTAAGCTGTTAATGAGAGCTGTTGCTAAATAAAATCATCTTTCACCTGCCTACGGCCCCCCGAGTGTTCTTTCTGTCCATCCGCCCACTCCCCTCAGACTTCAGCATGGGCTGGACCTGGACCCCAGGATGTGACATTTAGGTTTGAATATCAGAGCTGCCATATAATAGCTGTTTGGTAAAGTGCTTAAAATTCTGTAAGCCTCCGTTTTTCCATCTGTAACATGGACTAAAATGCTTGCCCTATGTGGTTGATTTGAGAAATAAAGTGTACATATACAGTTTCTAGCATGTGTTTGGCACACAAAAACTCAGTTCCCTTCTCCTCAGATTGAAGATAATGGCTTGGTTTTGGTATAGGTTTTTTATCCCCCATAAATTTAATAGTGTATGACAAAAATTAAGTGATTATATGACAGGTCCAGTTTGCTTTCTCTTGTTTTCTTTTCTCCACTGCTTCAGTCAGCATAAAGTTAGTCGTTCTGAGGTTCAGTCAGTTCTAGTCCATTTGCCAATGATCCCGAGGCTCCTTTTATGGTCTGAAAAGCGATATTCATATCTGGAAAGCATCCAGATCATAATGATACTCTAGCTCATGTTTGTCAGACATAGCTACAAAAACAGACTATAAAATATTAAAAGTAACAGAATTATTTTTCTATACCCTCAAAAGAACTTAACAAAAACCAACGGAATTCTTAGACTTGTATGACCAAAACCATATTACGATATATGATTATAATAAAAAGATGAAATAGGATACAAGTTGCTAAAGTTCAACTCTACGAATAATAGTAAACTAATTCTCTGTGAAGTGCATTAGCCCTTTGGTAAATATGAAAATGAGTTTTTCTTTAAAATAAATATGTATATATTTTTCAGAGATAAAAATGAGCAGGCATAGGTTTTAGGTGAAAATCAGTTTTGTTCGACAGCATAATAATTTGGAAAAATTAAATGCAAATGCCTTGGGCAGAGCATGCATTCTCCAGCTAGTCACCATTTCTACCTCCCTTCTTTTATGCCCACTGGCCCACCTGCTTCACACATCACAGGACATGCCAAGCTTCTAGAGACATTTAAGTTTTGTAGATCCCAGTTCCAAGCATTTAGATCAAATTACTGGGCTCCTATTCAGGCAGCTGGGTTCCAACAGCAGGAACCTGAGCTGCATATCCTACCTAATCTTTGGGCAGAGTTTTACCTGTTTGGCACAAAGATAGTGGCAGTTTCCTGTAGTTATTAATCTTTGAGTAACTTAATCTTATCGCTGTTGCTCCTCCAGAATGTCCAACAATCTTTTAAAGAATCTCTGCTTTAAATTTGATCTGTATCAATGTTTGGAATACGAAGAGTGGTTTATGTTTTCCTGCTTGGACCCTGACTGATAACAGAGCCAGACTGAAGGGGTGGGAGTATAGTTGAACACAACTGCAAAGGAAAAAATTAGCTGGGCGTGGTGGTGCACACTTGTAGGGCCAGCTACTCGGGAGGCTGAGGCAGGAGAATTGCTTGAACTTGGGAAGTGGAGGCTGCAGTGAGCCGAGATCGCACCACTGCACACCAGCCTGGGCAGCAGAGCGAGACTCCGTCTCCAGAAAAAAAAAAAAAAAAATAGAAAAAGAAAAGAAAACTCTCCTAATGTTTTCTGAAATTCACCAACTTCTGACTTCATGAAGTATACATACTGAGCTTGCCTTAAGCTCGGTATGTATACTTACCAATATTCATAAACAGAAAAAGGAAATCAAGGGTTACCAGTCATTTGAGAAAAACCAACACCACGAAGGAGAAAGACCAAGATGTAAAGGAAAAACCATGCAGAAAAGGTAACACCTTAGTGAGCAAACAAGAATTTACACTTAAAAACTTAATATCAGAATAAAGAAGATTTTGCAATTGAAAATATAAGCTACTATGAAAATAAAACAATCAAAAAATGGAAAAGAGTTTGTTGCAATTAAAAATACAATTGCCCAAATTTTTAAAAAATTAATAAATGGACTGAATAATGACTTGGACAAATAGACAAAACCATGGTATAAAAGTAAATCCAATGAACTCTTTAGAATATGTAGAGCAAAGAGTCAATAAGGAAATAAGAGTAGTTTAATTTGTGTCAGGCTATTCTAATGGCTTTAGTTATAGTAACTAATTTAATTCTGACAACAACTTTTTTGAGCTAAGGATAATTATTATATACATAGAGGGGTTAAGTAACATGCTCAAAGTCACACAGCTAACAGGTAACAAAGCTGAAATTCAAATCCACAGAATGTGACCCCCCAGAGACCATGCTCTTAATTAGTATTCTACATTGCCTATTTTAAAAGTAGGAGATAAGTTAAGAGACATGGAGGATATATTCAGGAAGTTCAATAGCCACCTAACTGGAGTTGTAAAAAAAAAAAAAAAAAAAGCAAACGGGATGAACAGAAGAAAGAAAATATTCAAGAAACAAGAATAGAAAATGCATTGAGCTGAAAAAAGACTTGACAGACACCACTAAGTGCCAAAAAATAACTTTTTTTCAAAATAACCTATCTAGACACATAACTGTGAAATTTTGGAACTCCAAAACAAAGAAAACCTTCAACCTCCAGAGAGAAAAACAATAATATACAGAGTATTGTAAATCAGGTGGACATCAGATGCTTCATTTGCAACAGAATAATGATTTGTCAATTCTGAAGTTTTGGATTTAGAATTCTCTACCCAAACAAGTGTTAATCAAATGGGCAGGCAAAATAAAGACATTTGGACATGCAAGAATTTAGGAAGTCTAGCATTCATTGCTATTTGAATAGATAAAGTAACAAAATGTAGGATGATTCCAAGAAACAGGAAGATTTAAGACATAATAAACATCAGCAGTTGAGTGTGACTCAGATGTGAAAGACAAAATTAAATAGTGAATTTATTGGGTTTGGGCTTATAAAAGGTTCTCTTTAGAAAAATATAAATGACAATAATATATTTCTCTGTAGCTGCAAGCTTAATATTTGTTTCTACTGGTGAAATATTTACATAATCATAGTATTGTAAGAAATGTACTGTAAATGACTTTTTAAATTATTATTATTTGAGATTTCAAAAAATCATGTTCATATAATTTAGAAAATACCTAATGGATGATAACAAAGAAAATTAATGAGTGCCACTAGTTATAAAGAGATTAAAGCCAAAACAAAACCAAACAAAACAGATTGTAATTATCAAGCTCTGCTTGATCAAACAATTTTTCCACCCTTTGGGGGGACGACTGTTTTGCTTCTACATTTTTTCATAATAATGGGAAGATGTTCTTTTCTTGATCCTGTCTCAACTATTCTTGAAAAGGCAAGCAGCAACACCTTCCAGCAATCCTGAAGAGATTACTCGGCAGCAATTCAAGACATAGGCAATGAATTGGAGCCAACTTAACGACTTAGGTATGCTGAATCTAAAAGTTATCTGAAACTTTCCCAGCAAAGCAAGCATTTTGAGAAGTTAAATAACCTACACCTCCTATTTTACATTTTCCAATTATGGAATTTACTCATAGATTAAATCAAGGTCTAGTAAATATGGATAGTAAAGCCATATAAAATTGTAACCATATAATATTATAATGTTCTCTGTTTGCCTATTTTTCTCCTCATTCCTCAACTTTAAGTAATTTGTTTTATTTACAGTTATCATGGTGTCTTGGTGACATGTATTTTCCATACAAGAAAAAAGGTTTTTTTAGGTATAATTTTTATTACAGACTACTGACAGGGGAGAGTAAAAATGAAACGTACCTTTTAACAGAGATTCAGTTACTTACAAGTAGAGGAAGAGTCACTCCTATTATGCAACTATCCCATATTATCAAATATATACTAGAAGACTCATCATTAAGTCCTTTGCCACAGCAAAGAAAGTAAGGAGGGCATAGGCTTTGAACTGATCTGAGTTTGTTAGGCAAGTCACATAAACTCTCTGAGCCAAGCTTGTCCAACCCGCGGCCCACAGGCTGCATGTGGCCCAGGATGGCTTTGAATGCAGCCCAACAAGAAAAATATTAAACTCAAAGCAAATGTCTCTATATGACATAAATTTAAATATCTTTTTAGAATTTTTACAATAACATGAAACCAAAGCACACTCAAAAGAAAATACTGATTTCATTACATATATGTTAATAAGTCTAAAAAGATAAATTTTCAAACTAATCAGTAATGAATGCTCATTAATCCTTCTATTCATTTCCAAAACATCTATTGAGAGCTTCCTGTGTATTTCACAACTGTGCTAAGCTCTGAGAAATCGGTGGTGAAACAGAAACTTGGTGCCTGCCCTCAGGGAGGTTAAACTTGCCAATAAGATCCAACAGGATGGCATTTCACATGGAATGTAGACTTTAATTTAGAAAAATTATCCTCTTCTGCTTTCTCTCTTTAACTGTAAATTTATATTTGTGACTTAATCTCCTACTGAAATAAGCTAAATCTGGTTTGAAATAATGTTCTGTTGAAAGTTGTGCAGTCGGAACTGAAGAGAAACTTCCTGTTAAACGCGGCATACTTATCACATGGGTATCTTCTCTTGCTCCTGAATACAATTAAAATAAATAACCAAAATGAGGGAAATAGATATGAGTAATCAGCAGACAAGAGCTTTCAGTAAATTTTCAATTGATAAAATGAAAAAGAGGTACAGTAATTGACTTGGCAGAGTGGAGGAAGCTAAAACTGAAGTACCCGCTGAAAGTAGATAGTTCACTGATAAGGAATGAGCCAGTTTGCTCCACTGACACTCACAAGAACTGAGTTTCACAGGAAGTGGAGGCAGCAAAGTGTGGATACAGCAAAAGGTTGAAATCTGGGAAATAAGTTGAAAGTCTGCATGTAAAATGGCTGCATCTAAAGTGGCTGAGCACTCCCAGATCTTTTTCCCCAACCCACATGGACAGGTAACAACCTTCTTCTACACACCTACCAATCATTTCTCCCTAAATGATCACAGATTAACTTTTTGAAGAAATTGAGCTAGAGATGTCCCAGACCTGGAAGCAATAGGAGCAATGGGGTAAGTAAGGTACAGGGTTGAAGACAGAGTGATGTGTCTTTGAATATTACCTTTTGATATGATTTGGCTCTACGTCCCCACCCAAATATCATCTCAAATTGTAATCCCCACATGTCAGGGGAGGGACCTTCTAGGAGGTGATTGAATCATGAAGGCAGACTTCCCTCTTGCTTTTCTCATGATAGTAAGTGAGTCCTCACAAGATCTCATTGTTTGAAAGTGTATAGCACTTTCCCCTTTCTCTCTCTCCCTCTCCTGCCATCTTGTGAAGAAGATGCTTGCTTCCCCTTTGCCTTCCACCATGATTGTTAGTTTCCTGAGGCCTCCCAGTCATGTTTCCTGTTAAGCCTTTGGAACTGTGAGTCAATTAAACCTCTTTTCTTCATAAATTACCCAGTTTTAGGTATCTTT
This sequence comes from Homo sapiens, assembly GCF_000001405.40. Lineage (NCBI taxonomy): Eukaryota > Metazoa > Chordata > Mammalia > Primates > Hominidae > Homo > Homo sapiens. The sequence goes on from NC_000012.12 coordinate 46,898,040, forward strand.
ATGGTAGTGTGAGAACAGACTAGTACAGTTTTTCAGGGGACTCAAGGAAAAGGCCAGCTTGCTGCCTATAACTCTAAACTAAAGCCTCTTCATTGATTAGCCCTCTCATGAACACAACACTTCTAATTGGTCTTTCAGTATTTCATTCCAAATGGTGCTGGGACAATTGGATATCCACATGCAAAAGAATTAAGAATTAAGTTATATCCTGTTCTTAAAACCAGACACAAAAATAACTCAACATAGATCATAGACCTAAATGTAGAACTATAAAACTCACTGAAAAAAGCATAGGAGTAAATCTTTGTGACTGTGGGTTAGGAAAAGACTTCTTAGGTATGACACCTAAACCACAAGCCACAAAACAAGAAAAAAGATAAATTGGACTTCATCAAAATTACAACCTTTTATACTTCAAAGGATAATGTCAATAAATTGAAAAAGACAACTCACGGAATGAGAGAAAATACTTGCAAGTCATAGACCTGATAAGGGACTTGCATCTGGAATATATTTTAAAAACTTTTATGACACAATAATAAAATGACAAGTAACCCAATTAAAAATGGATGAAAGACCTGTATGAAAAGACATCTCTCAAAAGAAGATAGATATAAGGCCAATAAGCACATGAAAAGATGCTTAACATCATTAGCCATTAGAAAAGTGCAGTCAGAACTACAATGGGATACCACTTCATACCCACTAGAATGGCTATAATTTTTTTAAAAAGGGTGGATAATAACAACTATTGGCAAAGATGTGGACAAAACGAAACATTCAGATATTGCTGGTTGGAATGTAAAATAGTGCAACAGTTTGAAAAACTTTTTGGCAATTCTTTAAAAAGTTCCATACAGAACTATTATGTGATTCAACAATTCTACTCCTAACATACACCCACGAGAAATAAAAGCATGTCCACATAAAAATTTATACATGAATATTCATAGCAGCCTTATTTATAATAGTCAAAAAGTAGAAACAACCCAAATGTTCATAAACTAATAAATGAATAAACAAAATGTGATATGTCCATAAAATGGAGCATTATTTAGTAATAAAAGGAAATGAAGTATTCATACATGCAGCTGCATGGATAAACCTTGAAAAATATTCTAAGGTTTATTGTGTTGGTTGCACAACTCTTTGAATATGCTACAAATCATTTAAGTGTACTCTTTAAATTGGTGGATTTTATGGTATGCGAAGTGTATCTCAATCAAGCTGTTAGAAAAATGTAAATGGACAGCCACTGATCACAGAAAAATGTAAATGGACAGCCACAGATCACAAAACATCTTAGAAAGCCTCCAACATGAAAAACTGAAATAAACACAAATAATAAAAGTGAATTTGGGGGAAAAAGGCGCACTGCAGGAAATAGAAGAAAAGGTCACCTAAAACATTGTGTTAGTATTCTTAGAGAGATAAGAATCTGTAAAACAAAACCATGATGTTATCAGGAAATAAAAGAACAAGAAAGAGGCCAAAAAGACAAAGAGCTATAAACCAACGGAGATAAGATAACAAAATTACTGGATCAACTCAGGAATTTCAGCAGTAAGATTTCTAGAAAGAAAAAGTAGAGAAAGTGAATTGAAGAAAGATAAAACAGAAATAGCCAGAAAAACTCCTATGACAAGAGGACATGACCTTCTAGATTGAAAATCTTCATGAAACACTGAATAACAAACTTTTAAAGATTTATTTTAAGACATCTTGAAATTTAAGAATACCCAAAATAAAATTCTTAGAGATTTTTTAAACCCTAAGTATACATAATCAGCATGACATCAGACTTTCCAATGTAGCACCGTAAGATATAAGACAATAAATTAATGTTTACATAATTCTGAGAAGAAAAAAAAGTTAGGATAAAATTTCTATACTCAGCCCAAGTATCAATCAAATATGAGAGTGAAAAATTCATATTTGATTGATAGGTTGGCTGAGTGTAGAAATTTTCAGACATACTAAAACTCAGAATAATAACCACCCATGCACCCTTTCTTAGGAAACTACTGGAGAATATGCTTTAAAAAAATGAGGAAATAAATCAAGAAAGAAGTTTTGTGATCCAGGACACTGGAGGCACAACACAGGAAAACAGCAAATGGAAGGATCATGATGGTAGCTCTACTCACAACTAGAAATTAACTCATGTCATTTGGAGCAGAAGAAAAGAAAACTCAAGGCTAGAGATTCATTGGGGATGTGAGGGAATGAAATCAATACATATCTAATGTGATAATTTAATAGGTATTTGACAAATCTCAGGAGGCAGTTGGATAGACACATGAGAAACTACCAAAAAATTGAAGGAAACTGAAGAGGTATACTAGAAAGAAAACATTTCAAACTTCAATGCTTGACTCGACAGTAGTCCATGTTGCATGCCTATAGCAATATGCACATGGACCAATAATTTAATTTTAGAAATTATGATATAGCTGAATTGGGAGAATGGGGCAAGGGGAAGTGGTTAAGAAATGTAAGATTTGTAAGACAGTTAAATAATTTCAATAATAAACATTGGCTAAAGTTGAAAAAAAATCAAGATAGAGGAATTATATTTTTAAAGCATGATGATGATAAAACCCAGAAGAAACAAAGAAACTGAAATGGGGAGATGTGGATTAACCAACTGCTGTTTTTTAATACAAGTGTTTCAATACTACCTGGATTTTTTTTAAAATCATGGCATGCAATAATTTGGATAAACTGTTTTTTTAATCCATTAAGGGATCATAGCACTGAAAAAACACTGTGTGATCGCACATGTCCACCCTCATCTTTGAAACCCGGCACACAAGTGCAGCCCAGGACAGGAACATTTTTAATAGATGGGAATTGGATTAAGAGGACATCAGGAAGGGCTAAGCTGGGGGAAGGGGGACAGCCTGGTGAGGTGCATAATTAAATGATACTCAGGGGCTGGCTGGATGGGAACCAAAATTCTCTCCCTTCAAGGAAGTAACCAGGCTATGAACCGACCCAGGAGAGACTGGAGAAGGTGTATGAGTGTCTTTATTTTTCTGCTGTGTTTCTGCATAATTTAGAAAAAACAAACTAAAGAAAAAGAAAGCTGTCCCATCAAAAAAAAAAAAGAAAGAAAGAAAAGAAAAAACACTGTGTGATACAGACATAGGCTGTCAGAAAGTTTGTACAGAGTATAGAAAAGATATATTTCTTTTTTTATGAAGACCACCACTGAACTGAAAATGAAACTGAAATAGTGTAAGTTTTAACTGTGAGCCATCTTGGAAAAAATCATTAACCACAGGATCTATAATTTACAGACCTTTCATAGACTGCCATCTGAGGACAGTAGTTCTATCTTTGCAAGAAAGACATTCCATGAGAAATAAGAATTCTCTTAATACTGACTCTCTATGTTTTATAACTAAGAAAAGGCTTCCCATAAATAACCAATGTATGTTGTAGAGAAGCCCAGGAAAAAAAGAGAGGAAGGCAAATGTTTATGTGCTAATCTCAAACCCTAGAGCTGCCAGGTAGAAAGGTGAGCAAGAGAGAGTGCAGAGTAGTCTGAGCCAGTTCCTTCTGGACAATCAACCGAGAGTGTTGCCTTGGGCCATGTAGTAAAGATAGCAAGCCATCAATACAGAGACTGGCCTCATCTCCTCTGAATCTTGCATGGCCACTATCTGAAGATCAATAGAATTTCCTCTTCTAATCAAATGTGTGGGACCACCTACAACAACAATCATATTCCATATTTTCTTTCCATGCCTTCATCATAAATCTCAGCATATAAACAATCAACTCTTCTACAAAATGAGGAATTCTGTAGTACAAACCCCATGCAGCTAAGCAGAGCATAGGGTAGCCAGTAACCTGTCTTTCAGGTGATCTAATACTTCCATCTGGTTCTGCCACAAGCTGTATGTAGGCCAGCTCTAGGAGCTCTAGAACTTGAAGATGCCACATCCATTCCACTTTAGCCAAGGAGCTGCTCCTAGACTAGGAGAGGAGCTGTTCTTGTTCCTCCCGCCCTGTCTCCTGGATGCCACTCTTTGAAGACACCTATCTCCTACCCTAGTCAGGGTCATATCTCATCATTCTCAGGGTTCCCCGTGTTCTTAGTCTCATTCACTTATTAACTTCTTTTTGTCAGAAGAATAAACTTCCTACTTTCTGTGTCTCCTGGGTTCTCCCATCAGAAGCCCTCTGTTTACTGCCTTACTAATACATGTCAAAACTCTTATATCCATACAACCTTGTAGTATGGCTCTGGTCTGAGGTAGAAAGAAAGGAGCATAACTGTAACATGCATGTAATTATCCAGCTAAGCAGAGCATAGGGTTGTTCGAAATCTAGCACAGAAGACATAATTAAGAATTTTTTAAAGTATACCTGTTTAGGATTGTGAATTGTATTTCCATTCACTCACTTCACTAGATATTTACCAAGTGCATTTTTATATGAAGATTTCATGTGTTGTAAATCATATAAGGCCCATAACGACAACAAATTTATAAAGTGTAGGAGAGATTGGACAAGGAAGAAAGATTAAAACAATAGAAAAAGAGTTAAAGTAAGCAGCAGAAGAGAAGTGCTAAGTGTGGAGGTTTGCAGAGGAATAAATTATTTCTGGCTGGAGAAGATATGTACAGAGTTTATTAAACAATTTCATGCAGCATTTATGAAGCATCTGCTGTGTGCTACACTAGGTACTATATTAGGGTCTGAGGAAACCAAGAGCATAAAGACAAAGTTATGCTCCAAGGATGAAAAAGCCCTTGAAGATCAACAATGAGGAGGCAATTTATTCTCCTGGAAGTGGGAGTAAGGGTGAAACTGTCAGGTAAAGCTTCATATAGGATATTGGTTTTTGAACTCAGACCTAGAAAACAAGTGGACTACTGACTGGCAGAAATGCTGAGATAGAGCACTGTAGGTATATGTAACAGCAGGAGCAAATGTGCAATAGCAGGGAAAATAAACTATAATAGAGACTATTCCAAATTATCTAGAGTACTGGGTGTTTGTGGCAAATAGGGGCAAAGCTGCAAAGACAGAGGACAGAATGTGGAGAAGCAGTATGAACGGAGCACCTATTTAACTGTGTTGGAAAATGAGGAGCCAATGCAAAAATTATTTGTTCAATTTAGTGATCAGCATAGTGTTTTGAAAAGATAAGCCTGGAATCAGTATATAGAGGATGCTTCAAAGTGAGAATAGAAAGAGGCTATTTCTTGTTTCAGGGGTGAAGTAATGAAAGTCTGAACCAGCTGGTGCCAATAGGAAGAGAAAGATGGGCGTAAGCATTGAAGAAGCTACATCTACTTACATTGGTTGAAGTTGGGGAGAGTTGGAGAAGTGGAAATCTCTCAATCAGGGTGGTCCTGGAGCCTTAGCAAATCATGCCAGGCCTTTTTCTTACAGATGCAAGGAATTAGGCAAGACTTGGGCTTGAAAAACAAGTTGTATTTTATGACGCTAGATGCAGAATCTAATGTTATGTGTGCTTGCAAGCACACGCACATGCCACACACAGACCATCATAAATTATACTCTTGGAACATAGTTGTTTTGGTATCGGGCACACATAACACTGTTGGCTTTCATCCAGATACTGGCAAAAATCTCTCTAAGGGGTCACTGGATATCAGTGGCCTTTACTGCCTTCTGGGAGACTGAAGAACTCGGTTACAAACACAGGCTGTGGAGACATAGAGCAGTTCAAACCCAAGGTCGGTCATTTACAAGTAACTGCATAATTTTAGGCAAATTACTTACCCTCTCTTCTCTTGATTTCTACATTAATAATATAGGGATAGGGAACACACTGACTTTTATGAGAATTAAATGAGCTATTACATGTGAACTGCTTAGAATAGAATAATACCCAGCACATATCAGGTGCTCGGTAAATGCAGGCGATTATTACTGTTGTTATGGGTATTCTGTGGTAGAAAAGTCAATGCTGAATACTTAGCAACTGGCGTATATTTTTAGGGAGAGAAGCAGAACAAGTTTCAGTAGAGAAAAATAATGTCACTTCCTTTTAAAAATGTTAGTCAAAGATTGAGACTTTTTGTGTGATTAACAGCTGATTTCCTATGATTCTGGTGCAGTAATTCACATTCAAAACTGTAGACAAGTGTAGAGAGACTTTGAGAAAACTTCCATTGACTAAGGTAGCCTTAAGATCTGAAGGATACTTTGGCCTTTGGAAGTGGCACTATACAGATGTCTAGTCAGCTATTATCTGCTTTGCATGGTTATCAAACACATCATTAAGTACATTATTTCATTTATTTTAATATGCAGGACAAAATGTAGCAACAACAAAAAATGTGCTTAACGCAAACTGGGAAGACTCGTTCTTTTTATACTGACTCATTAAGCCTTATTAGTTTGGTAGTTTTGTGATTTCAGAACACCATAATTCTGAACCGGATTCCCATCTTGTATGGCTCTGTTAGAGGTTTTGCCTGCAGGGTGTTCTCTGGCCCTCTTTCTGAGTGTGTCTCCCTCTTTCTTTATTTCTGTCTTTTCATCAGTGATGCTCTGGGCTTTGGAAGCAGGCCAGAATGCCCTGAATCTTGCAATGAATGATGCTGCAAAAATTGCTAACATACCAATTTCAAGCATATTCCACAATTCAGACAAATATTCCTTGGGGCCTTGAGTCCAAATTTCTTTACATGCAGCCCATATCATGCCTCTGTACTCATTAAATCTGTTTTTCTCTAGCAGAGGCAGGTTAACCATGAAACTGAAGCTTCAAGATGACTTTACTTGCCCAGGCTCCTTCTAAGTCCTCACTTTCTCTTCTTTTTCTCTAAATGGAGCCCTCTGAATAAACAAGCCTCAGATTCCACTGGGTCTTACCCCGTGCCTAACCCTCTTCATAATAAATGCCTCAAGAAATTCAAGTAAGCAGAATGTTTGCTTTCACTTTGTCCCATTGTCACCCCGGTTCTTCCGAGCACTCAGCTTTCCCACCAAGCTTCTTTCAGTCGTCCTCGGGTGTCCTTTGACAATGCATCCTCTGCTTTTACACACTCTAGCGTTCCTTCACTGGGGTCTTTGCTGCCCCACACTGGGCAGCCAGGAATGTTGGGGTGATCGGGCCCGACATCAGGTCGTGGGGGCAACGAAGTCCGGTGGAGTCAAAGGAATGAGAAAGGACAGTTTCAGAGAAAAAGTGGGTCCAGGAGGCCAACACTAAGTATGGAGGCTGTGAAGTCCCTGAGCTCTGGAAGCCCAGACTATTTATTGGTGATCAAACAAAGAAACAGGGTGTGAGAATGTGGGGGTCGAAAGGGCAAGCACATGATCTACAGCTGTGACGGTTTAGCATTTCCTTTGCGGCACATGGAACATGTTCTTCTGCTTGAGATAATGGAAAGCAGGTTCTTTTAACTCAAGATACAGTCGATCCTGGGAGAGCAAGGAGCAAGGAGCCAGCAAGTCTAGACACATTCCAGAGCCATGAGCCCTGGATTCTATTCAAGCCATGAGGGGTTTTATGCCCTGGGCTTAGATTATGGTGTGTCAGGGTAGCCTTCCACACTTTAGCACAGAGCTTGGTGTTCCAAAGGCCACAAGGGGTTTTAGGCTCTGTACCCCAGACATGTTCCAAGACTCTTTTACATTATGTCAGACATGCAAGCCCTGCCTCAGCTTCTCCCAACACTCAGCTTTTCCCAACAGAGAGATGAGGATGGAACCCCAGAGAATATTAATATTAAGGGATTTTCAAAGAACTAGTGAATGAGGCTGAGATGGAGTAGCAGAGGCAGGAAGAAGCAGAGAGGACAACTAGCAGAGTGTGGGTCACAAAGCGGACAAGCCTGACATCACTTTTATGTCTCTTCCAACCCTGAATTATGAGAAGTTATAAAAAGAAATAAATCCTAAAAAAATTGAAAGTGGCAACTGAACTATAAATTAAAGATTAAAAAAACCATTTCCACTGATTTAAGTATTGATGGGGATGGATTGGGAAGTAAGATGGCTGCCAAGATTCCTGCTCAGTGGTGCACTTACCCTTTATAATCACCTCCCCTTGAGTGTGGTGGGACATATGAAGAAGATGGGTCTTACTTCCACATTGCCATTAAATTGCTTTTGATAAAATATTTTTGGGGATAATAGTTGTCTATTTTTTAATTTTTATGGATACACAATAAATAGTTGTAGTATTTATGGGATACATGTAATATTTTGATACAAGTATAAAATGTGTAGGGGTCAAATAGGGGTAATTGGGATATCTATCAGTTTAAACACTTCATTTCTTAGTGTTAGAAACATTCTAATTCCATGCTTCTTGTTATTTTGAAATATCCAATAAATTATTTTGAACTGCATTGCCCTATTCTGCTACCAAATACAAGATCTTATTCCTTCTGTCTGTATTTTTGTACCCACTAACCAACCCCTCCCCTCCTATACGCAACTACTTTTCCCAGTCTCTGGTAACCATCATTCTTCTCTCTGCATCCATGAGATCAACCATTTTAGCTACCATGTATGAGTGAGAACATGCAATATTTGTCTTTCTGTGCCTGACAACAATTAAGTCTATTGTCAATGAATGTTACATCTGATTTATACAAATGGGTAAACAATTTTTATAGAGAAAAAATCTTGAGATATAGTATACAATTATCCTGACTTCTAATATACCAAGAATAACAAGTGAAAAGATTCAGTAAGTCTGGAGTAGGGTGTAGAGAGCTGTACTGCTATAACACTTTATAAGTAAGTCTTATGTGCATCCCCAATTGAGAGCTACTAGACTAGAAATACTACATTAAAATTAAAAGAATAAGGTTTCATCCAAGTACAATTTTAAATAATTACTAATATTATTACTGATTATGCAGTGGTTGCCTGAAATCATCAGCTCATTAGACAGGTAAAGCACTACCAGGATTCGTAAGTATAGGAAAACCTGACACAATTATTTCTTAGAGTTTTTATCAGTGTTATTCCTTAGGGTTAAAATATATTGTGGACAGTGAAAATATTGACAAATACCAGGGCTTCACCATAAAACATACAATTTCTGATAAATTAATATTAATAAAATTTTACCTATACAATGTTAGCACAGGGATGGCTAAATGTCTCTCTTGATTTGACAAATCTTCCCATGCAACTCATCAAACAAATCTAGTTAATTTCCAGCATCTCTCTTTTTATAAACTAAAAGAAACAATATCTGTAATTTTCCAGGGGCTATCTGGGAAATCTCAAAGATAGTTTTAGGTATAAAAGATGGCCTGAACGTTTTGTGGGCTTTTTTTTTTCTATATTTAGGACCCCTTTTTTAGAAAGTTAAAAATTTTTTTAATGCCAGAGGAAATTTGGACAGTTGGTTAAGATAGAATCATAGGTGTCTTAGAAACAATACTTGGTTGTCTATTTGATCACAGCAACAATAAGATGTATATAAAAAATAAACATGGATGGTAACAAAATTGAGAACCTTAGCTCTTTCAAAAGTTAGACTGAGGGCACAGCAGGATGGCCAGTAGAAGTCTCCACAGATCATCCTCGCAGCAGAAACACCACCTTTGACAACTATCTACACACAAAAAAAGCACCTTCATAAGAAGAAAAAATCAAGTGAGCAATCACAGTACCTGGTTTTAAACTTCCTATCACTGAAAGAGGCACTAAATAGGGTAGGAAAGACAGTCTTAAATTGCCTAAATTACCCCTCCCCTCTCCCCCTGCAGCAGTCTTACAGCACAGAGAGAGAATCTGTGCACTTGGGGAAGGGAGAGTGCAGTGACTGTGGGACTTTGCATTGGAAATCAGTGATGCCAACACCAGGCAGGACTCAGCCAATGCCCACGGAGGGAGCATTTAGACCAGCCATAACCAGAGGGGAATCATCCATCCCAGGGGTTCGAACTTGAGTTTTGACAGGCCTCCCCACCATGGGCTACAGCGCTCTGGGGTTCTAAATAAAGTTCTAAATAAAGTTGAAAGGCTGTCTAGGCCACCAGTCCTAGTGCTGTGCTAGGTTCAGAGCCAGTGGAGTTGGAGGGCACTCAACCTAGTGAGACACAAGCCAGGGTGGCTAAGGGAGCACCTGCATCATTGCTCCCCCAACCCCAGGCAGCACAACTTGCAGCTCTTAAAGAAACCCCTTCTTTCTGCTTGAGGAGAAGAGAAGGAAAAGAAAAGAGGACTTTGTTTTGCAACTTTGATACCAGCTCAGTCAAGGCAGGAAAAGACACCAGTCAGAGTCGTGAGAGCCCCACTAGAGGACCAAGCTCCCAGATGACATTTCTCGGCATATCCTGGGCTGGGAGGGAACCCACTATCTTGAAAAGAAGAAACCAGTCCTGGCAGTATTCATTACCTGCTGACTAAACAGCCCTTCAGCTCTGAATAATCAGTGGTGATAACCAGGTAGTACATGCTGTGGACCTTGGGTGAGACTCTGAGACATGCTGGTTTCAGGTGTGACCTAGCATATTCACAGCTCTAGTGACTACAGGGAGAGACTCCTTCTGCTTGAGAAAAGTATGAACTCAGCCACAGTGGGGAAAAGTACCAAGTGGGCTCTTGGGATCCCCAATTCCAGGCCTTGGCTCTTTTATGGCATTTCTGGACATACCCTGCACCAGAGGAGGGCCCACTTCCCTGAAGGATGAGTCACAGGCCTGGCAGCATTCACCACAATATGACAGAATAGCCCTTGGGCCTTAAGTGAACATTGGCAGTACCCTGGAAGTACTCCCTGTGGGCCTGAGGTGGTGGTGCACACAGGGAAACATTCCTCTGCCTGGGGTAAGGGTAGGGCAGAGTGGAAAGGACTTTGTCTTGTAGTTTCAGTGCCAGTTTAACTGCAGTAATAATAGAGCACCAGGTAGATTTCTAAAGTTTCCAGCTCCAGGCTGGCTCCAAGATGGCATCTCTGAATCCACCCAAGACTCGAGGGAACTTACTGTCACCCCAAAGAGAAGAACACAATTCTGGCTGCTCCACCACCTGCTGAGTGTAGCACACTAGAGCCTTAAATGAACATAGGTGGTAGCAAAGTAGTGGTTTCACAGTGCCTTGGGTGAGACCCAGTGCTGTATTGGCTTCGGGTCTGACTCAGCACAGTCCCACTGGTAGTGGCTACAGCGGTGCTTGTGTCACACATCCCCCAGCTCCATGCAGCCCAGCACAGAAAGACTTTATTTGTGTGAGAGAGGTAAGGAAAGAGAACAAGAGTCTCTGCCTTATAATTTAGAGAATTCTTCTAGATCTTACCCAAGACCACAAAGCTGGTACCTCTATGAGTCTGCAAGAACCACAGCATTACTGGGCTTGGGGTGACCCCTAAAGCAGATAAGGCTGCAGTAGCCAATAGCTTAGATCACAACACCCAAATCCCTTCGAATACCTGAAAAGCTTTCCCAAGAGGTACAAGTACAAACAAGCCCAGACTGAGAAGACTGCAATAAATACCTAACTCTTTAATGCCCAGACACTGACGAACGTTCAAAAGCATCAAGAACATACAGGAAAACATGACCTCACCAAATGAATTAAATAAGCCACCAGGGGCCAGTCCTGAAGAAACAGATATGTGACCTTTTAGATAGAATTTAAAATATCTGTTTTGAGGAAACTCAAAGAAATTCAAGATAACATGGAGAAGGAATTCAGAATCCTGTAAGATAAATTCAATAAAGATATTAAATTATTTAAAATAATCAAGCAGGAATTCTGGAGTTAAAAATGCAATTGACATACTGAAGAATGCATCAGAGTCTCTAGAAGAATTGATCAGGCAGAAGAAAGAGTTAGTGAGCTTGAAGATAGGCTATTCAAAAATACACAGAGGAAACAAAATAAAAAAGAATAAAGAATGCAGCACAACTACAAGATCTGGAAAGTAGCCTCAAAAGTGGAAATCTAAGAGTTATTGGCCTTAAATAGAAAATAAAGAGAGAGATAGAGGTAGAAAGTTTATTCAAATAACAGAGAACTTCCCCAAACTAGAGAAAGATATCAATATCCAAATATGAGAAGGTTATAGAATGCCAAGCAGATTTAACCTCAAGAAGACTATCTCAAGGCATTTAATAATCAAACTCCCAAAGATCAAGGATAAAGAAAAGATCCTAAAAGCAGGAAGAGAAAAGAAACAAATAACATACAATGGAGCTCCAAAACACCTGGCAGCAGACTTTTCAGTGGAAACCTTTCAGGTCAGGAGAGAGTGGCATGACATACTTAAAGTGCTGAAGGAAAAACACTTTTATCCTAGAATAGTATATCCAGTGAAAGTAGCCTTTAAACATGAGGAGACATAAAGACCTCCGGACAAACAAAAGCTGAGGAATTTCATCAACACAAGAACTGTACTATAAAAAATGCTGAAGAGATTTATTTAATTTGAATGAAAAAGATGTTAACAAGCAACAAGAAATCATCTAAAGGTGCAAAACTCACTAGTAATAGTATACAGGAAAACATAAAATATTATAACACTGTAATTGTGGTATGTATACTACTCATATCTTAAGTAGAAAGGTGAAAAAAATGAACTCATTAAAATAATAACTACAACAACTTCAAGAAATAGAAATATAAATAGAATAAGATATAAATAGAAACAACAAAAACATAAAAAGCAGAAAGGTGAAATTAAAGTGTTGAATTGTATTAGTTTTCTTTTTGCTTATTTGTTACTTTGTTTATGCAATCAGTGTGAAGTTGTCATCAGTTTAAAATAATGAGTTATAGATATTATTTCCAAGTCTCATGGTAACCTCAAATCTAAAAACATACAACAGATACATGAAAAATAAAAAGCAAGAAATTAAAACATACCACGAGAGAAAATCACCTTCACTAAAAGGAAGGCAAGAAGGAAGGAAAGAGGAAAGAGAAGACCATAAGACAACCAGAAAACAAATAACAAAATGGCCAGGAGTAAGTCCTTACTTATCAATAATAACATTAAATGTAAATGGACTAAACTCTCCAATCAAATGATATGGAGTGGCTAAACAAATTTAGAAAACAAGACCCAGTGATCAGTTACCAGCAACAAACACATGTCACCTGTAAAGACACACAGAAATTGAAAATAAAGGGATGGAAAAAGATGTTCCATGCCAGAGGAAACCAAAAAAGAGCAGGAATAGCTATACTTCTATTAGAGAAATAGAGTTTAAGACAAAATCTCTAAAAAGAGACAAAGAAGATCATTACATAATGATAAAGGGATTAATTCAGCAAGAGGATATAACAATTATAAACATATATGTACCCAACACAGGAGCACTCAGATATATAAAACAAATGTTATTAGAGCTAAAGAGAGAGAGAGAGACCCCAATAAATTAATAACTGAAGACTTCAACACCCTACTTTCAGCATTGAGCAAATCATTCAGACAGAAAATGAACAAAGAAACATCAGGTTTAATCTGCATTATAGACCAAATGAACCTAATAGATATTATAGAATATTTCATCCAACAGCTGCAGAATACACATTCTTCTCCTCAACACATGGATCATTCTCAAGGACAGACCATATGGGAGGCCAGAAAACAAGTATTTAAACATTCTTTAAAAATTGAAATAGTATCAAATATTTTCTCTGATCCTAATGGAATAAAAGTAGAAATTAGTAAGAAGAATTTTGGAAAATAAACAATATGCTCCTGAGTGACCAGTGAGTCACTGAAGAGATTAAGAAGGAAATTGAAAATTTTCTTGAAACAAATGATAATGGAAACACAAAGTACAAAAACCTATTGGATAGGATATAGTGAAAGCAATGCTAAGAGGCGAGTGTATAGCTATAAGTACCAACATCAAAAAAAAAAAAAAAAAGAAAAACTTCAAATAAACAACTTAATGATGCTTCTTAAAGAAACAGAAAAGCAAGAGTAAACCAAACCCAAAGTTAGTAGAGGAAAAGAAATAATAAAGGTCAAAGCAAAAATAACATGAAATTAAAACAAAGAAAACAATACAAAAGATCAGTGGAGTGAAAAGATGGTTTTTTGAAAAAGTAAATAAATTTGACAAACCTCTAGCCAGACTAAAAAAAAAGTAGAGAAGACCAAAATTAAAAATAAAAAAACAGACATAAAAAGGGAGACATTACCATTAGATACCACAGAAATTTGAAAGATCATTAGAGGCTACTATGAGCAGCTATATACCAATAAATTGGAAAACCTAGAAGAAATGGATAAACTCTTAGGCACATACAACCTACCAAGATTGAACCATGAAGAAATCCAAAGCCTGAACAAACCAATAACAAGTAACAAAATCAAAGCCATAATAAAGTTTCCCAGCAAAGAAAAAGTCCAGGCCTGATGGCTTCACTGCTGAATATTAACAAACATTTAAGTAAGAAGTAATATCAATCCTACTCAAACTACTCTGAAAAATAGAAGTGGAGGGAATACTTCCAAACTCATCCTATGAGGCCAGTATTAACTGCATACAAAAACCAGACAAAAATACATGAAACAAAGAACACTACAGGCCAATATCTCTGGTAAACATTGATGCAAAATTCCTCAACAAAATACTAACAAACCAAATTCAACAACACACTAAAGATCATTCATCATGGCCAACTGAGATTTATGCCAGAGATGTGTGGATGGTTCAATGTATGCTAGTTAATCAATGTGATACATCATAACAACAGAATGAAAAGCAGAAAGAATATGATCATTTCAACTGATGCTGAAACAGCATTTGATAACATTCAACATCACTTCATGATAAAAACTCTCAAAAAACTGGGGATAGAAGGAACATACCTCAACATAATAAAAGCCATATATGACAGATCCACAGCTAGTATCATAATGAGGAAAAACTAAAAGCCTTTCCTCTAAGATCTGCAACACTACAAGGATGCCTACTTGTCATCACTGTTATTCAATACAGTGCTGAAAGTCCTAGCCAGAGCCATTGGACAAGAGAAAGAAATAAAAGGCATCCAAATTGGAAAGAAAGAAGTCAAATTTCCTTTGTTTGCAGATAATATAATCTTATATTTGGAAAAACCTAAAGACTCCACCAAAAAACTATTAGAACTGATAAATTCAGTAAAGTTGCAGGATACAAAATTAAAATACAAAAATCAGTCGCATTTTTATACGCCAACAGCAAACAATCTGAAAAAGAAATCAAGAAAGTAAACCCTTCTAAAATAGCTACAAATAAAATTAAATACCCAAGAAGTAACTTAACCCAAGAAGTGAAAGATCTTTACAGTGAAAACTAAAATATTGGTTAAAGAAATTGAAGAAGACATAAAAAATTGAAAGATATTCCATGTTCATGAATTGGAAAAATCAATATTGTTAAAATGTCTATTCTACTCAAAGCAATCAATGAATTCAATGCAATCCCTATCAAAATACCAATGACATTCTTCACAGAAACAGAAAAAAATCCTAAAATTTATATGAAATAATGAAAGACCCAGAATAGCCAAAGTTATGAGCAAAAAGAACAAGAGTCTTTGTTTTGGAGGAATCATTACCTGACTTCAAGTTATACTAAAGAGCTACAGTAACCAAAACAGCATGGCACTAGCATAAAAACAGACACATAGATGAATGGAACAGAATAGAGAACTCAGAAACAAATCCATGCATCTACAGTGAACTATTTTTTGACAAAGTTGCCAGAAACTTTCACTGGGGCAAGGAGAGTCTCATTAATAAATGGTGCTGGGAAAACTGAATATCCCTATGTAGAAGAATGAAACTAGACCACTATCTCCTACCATACACAAAAATAAAGTCCACATGGACTAAAGACTTAAATCTAAGTCCTCACACTATGAAACTACTGCAAGAAAACTTAGGGGAAACTCCCCAGGACATTGGTCTGGGCAAAGATTTTTTCAGTGATACCTCACAAGCACAGGCAACCAAAGCAAAAATTGACAAATGGGATCACATGAAGTTAAAAAGCTTCTGCACAGCAGAGGAAACAATCAACAAAGTGAAGAGACAATCACAGAATCGGTGAAAATATTTGCAAACTATCTGTCTGACAAGAGATTAATAACCAGAATACATAAGGAACTCAAACAACTCTGTAGGAAAAAAATCTAATAATCCAATTTAAAAATGGGCTAAAAATATGAATAGACATTTTTCAAAAGAAGACATGCAAATGGCAAACAGGTACATGGAAAGATAACCAATATCATTGATCATCAGAGAAATGCAGACCAAAACTACATTGAAATATCATCTCTCCCCAGTTAAAAAGGTTTATTATCCAAAAGGCAGGCAATAGCAAATGCCAGCAAGGATGTGAAGAAACAGTGTACCCTTGTATGCTGTTGATAGAAATGTAAATTAGTACAGCCACTGAGGAGAACAGTTTAAATGTTCTTCAAAATACTAAGAATAGTACTACCGTATGATCCAGCCGTCCCACAGCTAGCTATATACCCAAAAGCAAGCAAATCAAAGCAATATCGAAGAGATATCTGCACTCCCATGTTTATTGCAGCTCTATTCACAATAGCCAAGACTTGAAAGCAGCCTAAGTGTCCATCAACAGACAAATAAAGAAAACGTGGTGCATATACACAATGGAGTACTATTCAGTCAAAAAAGAATGAGATCTGTCATTTGCAACAGCATGGATGAAGCTGGAGGTCATTACGTTACATGAAATAAGCCAGGCACAGAAAGACAAACTTCATATGTTCTCACTTATTTGTGGGAGCTAAAAATTAAAACAATTGAACTCATGGAGGTAGAGAGTAGAATGATGGTTATCAGAGCTGACGGTGTTATGGGGAGATAAGAAGTGAGGATGGTTAATGGGTACAAAAAAATAGAGTAAATATGATGTAGTAGTTCATAGCACAACAGGGTCACTAATAGTCAACAATAATTTAGTTGTACATTTAAAATTAACGAGAGATATAATTGGATTGTTTGTAACACAAAGGATAAATGCTTGAGGTGATAGATACCCCATTTACCCTGATGTGATTGTTACACCTTGTATGCTTGTATCAAAATATCCCATATACCCCATAAATAGATATGTCTACTATGTACCCACAAAAATTAAAAATTAAAAAGGACTGAGGAACTTTTGTTCTTTTCCTTGCTTCCCCACAAATAATTAAGGATTCAGATAGGAGGAGACTGTTGGAAGGATGAGTCAGAGGACAGAAAACCAAGAACAGTTTGGGGCATAAGGAAGAAGACAGATGACCACAAAGGCAAGCAGTCTGGGCAGTGACCCAGCATGACATGGATA
The DNA here is from genome assembly GCF_000001405.40 of Homo sapiens. NCBI lineage: Eukaryota > Metazoa > Chordata > Mammalia > Primates > Hominidae > Homo > Homo sapiens. The sequence goes on from NC_000012.12 coordinate 46,915,307, forward strand.
TGAGGCTGAGTAGGATTAATGAAACTCAGAGTTCCAAATAGAACTCTGGTGTCACGTTCCTCTGGTACAAGATCCGACTGTGGAATCAGGGTGTCAGATATTTGAGGACCTGGATAGTTGGAGCCAACTCACAGCATTCTTGAAATGGATCATAGTTGAGAGAGGCTGTGTTATTAATTCTTAATATGTTTATATGAGAAAACAATTCACAACTTCCTAAAAAAATTTCTTAGGACCATTTATTTCTACTTTAAAATTTTGTCCCAACTTACACCATTTGTTTTTAGTAATACATGTTTGTTTATTTTCATAGCAATTTCTGAGGATTTGTTTGTGTTATTGATCTTTTTTATCTGTTCTGGTTGAATTAAAAAGTAATAGAAGCGAGAAAAATTATTTATGTTAGATGAGTACTCTAAGAGAAGAAAGTATACATCTTTAGGTTATGAAGAAACCCTTTCTAGAGTATCAATCTGATAATCTTAGACAGAAAATGTGATTTTGGCTCTTAAACTCAGCAAATCAGGCTGCAACTGTACCTTGCCAAAACATCAAGAACAAAATAAAAAAAGAATCATCACTGAATGTTTCCATAAATTGCGATATTCAGCATTATGTGTTTGAAACATCTGCACAAGTATTGGACTTTTTCATCTGGATATTTTGGCATTATGACATCAACAGCCTTGGAATCCTTTCTTCTCTAGGGCTAGTAAGCAAATACACACACACACACACACACACGCGCGCGCGCGTGCGCACGCGCGCACTCGAATGATTCAGGGCTTGATGTGAGAAAGACAGTGGGGGCTGCAATCTCATTTCTTTTCTCACTGACTGCTATGATCCAAATGTTTGTGTCCCCACAATATTTATATGTTAAAATAAACACTCCCAAGGTGATGGTATCAGGAAGTAGGGCCTTTGGTCATGAGATAAAAGCATTCATGAATGTGCTTAATGCCCTTATGATAGAGGCTCCCAAGAGATCACTCACCCTTCTGCCCTGTAGGACACAGTGAAAGGATGACTATCTAAGAAGCAGACCCGCTTCAGATACCACATATGCTGACACCTTAATCTAGAATAGGATTCCCAGCCACCACAACTGTGAGAAATAAATTTCTGTTGTTTATAAGCCACCCAGTCTGAAGCATTTTGTTATTGCCACCCATGCTAGAAAAAGCCTACATTGCCACAAACAGTTAAAGATAATTCTGAAAAAAAAAAAAAAGAGGAGAGTTGCAGAGAAGGCCTTAATCATTTTAGAGAATACCTAAATAATCCTGAACAGAATTTGGCACAAATATGGATGGCAAAGGCCTTTCTGAGGAGGCCTCAGATGGAAATGAGGAACATGTTATTGGACAATGGAGGAAAGGCCATCCTTGCTCTAAAGAGGCAAAGGACTTGGTTGAATTGTGTTCATGTCCTAGTGTTTTATGAAAGGTAAAACTTGTGAATGATGAAACTGAATATTTGGATGAGGAAATGTCTAAGCAAAGTGTTGAGGGTGTGCCTTGCATTCTCTTGACTGTTTATAGTAAATGTAAGAAGAGAAAAAGGATGTAAAGATAAAATTGTTAAAAGAAAAGTAGAACTTAAAGATCTGGAACATTACCAGACTATTCATAGTGAAAAGAATAAAAGAGCTTATTCCAGAGAAAACACAAAGAGTGTAGCCAAATGACCAAGAAGATTAGTCAGTTACCTAAACAGAAGCCAGGACCTGTTGTTCAATGAATAGAAGAATGATCCTACAGGCAATTCAGAAATCCTCAGGCTGTTCCTCCCATTACAAGCCAAGAGTATAAGAGCCCAGAGTCACTACAGAGAGCCTCTGTTGGGGCAATGCCCAGTGGAGCCATGGGTGCAGGGCTGCCCCTGCAACCCTAGACTGATAAAACCAATGGGAAGTGATTCCAGCACCAGAGAGCCTCAGGCATGTGACCCAAGGCACACAGCTGCTGAGGAGTTGAAGCCACCACTGAGAACTGCATGAGGGCAGGGCCCAGGCACAGAGCTGCTGCAGGGCTGCGGGTGCCCAAACCCTTGGGGCAGGGCTGCAGCTGGAGTGCATCCAGAAGGTAGGACCATAGCTTCAATGTATCTGGAAGGCAGAGCATGACTCCAAGAAGATTATTCTTGAGCCTTTAGGTTTGGAATTATCTCAAGACTTACCACTCCTTCCTTCTTCCCTATCTTCCCTATTTCTCACTTTTGCAATGGGAATATCTGTCCTGTGCTTGTCCTACTATTGTATTTTGGAAGCATATAACATGTTTGATTTGATTTCACAGGTTCACAGGTGAAGAAAAATCTGCCTCAGGATCTATCATACCCTGAGGCTGTCTCACTCATATCTGATTTAGCTGCTATTTAAATGAGACTTTGCACTTTTGACTTTTGAGTTGATGCTGGAATGAGTTAGGAATTTTGAGGCTCTTGGGATGGAATTAATGTATTTTGCATATGAGAAGGTCATGTATTTGGTGTGGGGGGACAAGGAGAAAAATGAGAATGCTAGGGTCTGAATGTTTATGTCTTCCCAAAGTTCACATGTTGATAACCTAGCCCCCAAGGTAATGGTATGAGGAGGTGGGCATTTAGAAAGTATTTAGTTCATGAAAGTGGAGCCCTCATGAATGGGATTAGCACCCTTATCAAAGAGACGCCAGAGAGATTACTTGCCCATCTGCCACGTGAGAACACAGTAAAAAGATGCCTTGGAATTGGACTCTTGCCAAACAATGAATCTGCCAGTGTCTTGATCTTGGACTTCCCAGCCTTCAGGACTAGAAATAAATTTCTGTTGTTTATAAGCCACCTAGTCTAGGATATTTTGTTATAGCGCCCCAAACCGACTAAGTCAACCATTAGCTAACTTTTCCAGAAGTTAACCACAAACTAGATAAATCAATACACTTCCATGTTTCTCTAAATGAAAAAATGCCCAAATCATCCCATTTCCTCCTCATCCTTTTTTTTACCTTCTTACTTTAATCCTCCCAATGATATGTTGGAGGATAGGAGGAGAAGAGAATTGGGAATACACAAACATTGGAGCATTCCAAATGTAACATACTTGTCCACAATGGAAGAAGAGAACTTGGTGAGTATGACAGAGAATGCTAGGGCAAAGACCCCAAGGAGGGAAGAACTTAACATGTATACAACTGAAGATATATTTAATCATTGAATGTAAATCCATTTTAAGGTATCCCATTAGGAATATAAGAGGATTTCAAAAAAGCTATTTTCTTCTTTATGTGTATTCTCTTAGATTATTTTCAAAAACAAAATTGAACCCTTCCAAGGCCCCAAAGTAAGGAAATAAACGTTACAGCAAAGAGGACACATAGGGGACCAGCACTGAACAAAGGTTTCAAAACATACCTGGAAGACTGAAGAGGTTGGAAGCCCAATGACATTTAAATCAGAGGGAGGAAAGAGTAGCGGGTTGGGGGCAGCAGCAACGGAGAGTGCAGAGAGCTCCTGCCAAACGGAACCACAGAGGCCTGCCTTGGACAGGTGCTGTGACTGCCCGGTCAGCAACCCGCATTCCCTTTCATCGCCCTGCCTCCACAGACAAGCACCTGGAGATATAACTGAAAAGGTAGGTTGGGTTAAATAACAGGACCTTGAAAGGAGATAAGCATGCATGGGTGAGAAACGCTTCAAAATGTTTGGTTGTAACGCCATATATTCTCACTCATAAGTGGGAATTAAACAATGAGAACACATGGACACAGGGAGGGGAACATCACACACCAGGGCCTGTCAGGGGGTGGGGGGCTACAGGAGGGATAGCATTAGGAGAAATACCTAATGTAGATGACGGGTTGATGGGCACAGCAAACCATCACGGCACATGTGTACCTATGTAACAAACCTTCGTGTTCTACACGTGTATCCCAGAACTTAAAGTATAATAAAAAACAAACAAACAAACAAAAGTGTTTGGTTGTAAAGAGAAGAGCATACAACTGGCTGGATAGAAATATGTAGCTGAAGGTGGGGGTTTTAAGGTGTGGCGATGATTGCTTTTAAAACAGGATGAACTTGAAGGTGTTCAGATGAAAACGTGCCCATGGCAGGGAGCTTCCTAATCAGCGTTCCTTCTTTCAGACTTTTCCTTTCTCTGATTTGCCTTGGTTAATCTTAGCTATTTTTTTTTTCTAAAATTCAGCTCAAGGCACACTGGACTATCTTTCACAGCTCCCCAGTGTGTGTCCTCATCTTCTATTCTTAGACCTCTACTAGTGCCCTTTCCAGTATTTTTAATTTTCTCTTCACATTTCTATTTCTGAAAATGGCAGTGAACTTTAGGCTGCATTCAAATACATCCTTCTCTTATATTTTCCTCGAGGACAAGTACTTGAACATAGTTTCTTGTTTGTTTTTATTTCACACTCTTGCCATATAATAGACATTTAGTGAGCATCTGTTGATTCTCCCTTTGAAAAGTTCTTTTTCTAACACCATTTGTTGAATAGTCATCCACTTCCTCACTTCCCACTCATCACACTCTGGCTGCTGCACCCAGCATACCACTGAGAATGCTGTTTGGAAGATCTCCCCCGAACTTGTTATTGCTAACCCAGAGAACGCTTCTAAGGCCTGACCCTACGTCAGATTTCAGCAAGAATTGACTCTCTAGGCCACCAGCTTCTCTTTGAACATTCTCTTCTCTTGATTTCAGTAATGTTTCGTTTTTCTGGCTTTCCTCGTACCTCTCAGCTTCTTTTCAGTCCACTTTTCAGGATATTCTCCCCTTTCCTTCCCCTAAATATCAGACTCAGGGCTCCAGCCTAGCTTTCCTCCTTTTCTCACTCTGCCTGCTCTCCCTGGATTTGCTGTGCTCATCCACGTCCGTATTGTCAAGTCCATCTCTTGCTGCAGCTCAGATCTTCCTCCTTAGCACCAGACCAACAGACACAGCTGCCTTCCAGACATGCTTTCATAAACATCACAATCACTATTTAAATTTAGCACAATCTAGATCTCAATTTATTAGAGAAAAATATGTTTTTTAGATAAATTTCTACCTTCGTGTCCATCCCCCACTATAAAATGAGATAAACTTTCATATATAAACACATCAAGGAAGTAAATACAATAGAAAATATTTTTCAAATTAAGAATTTGAAGTACATCTAAAAGTAGGTTTTTTTTGCAGAAGTGATCTTTCAACTGTAAATTTTATTAAAATACTTCCATATGACTGTTTAAATAACTTGTTATTTTGCATCATCATCTTAGAATGTGCCTTTTGGGATCGCTTCCACAAAGTCCATCTGAGTTTTTATAATGCATTACTGTCTGATATTGGTGAAGATAAATTAAAATTTTCTGCATTTAGGAAAGAATCTTTACATCCTCCATGACTAAAAACTTCAAACAAATCTGGGCAAATTAAATTGATTCTTACCATGGATAAGATGACTGCCTGGTTCCCCTCTCTAATGTTAATGATAATTTATAGTAGTTTCACTTCCTCAGAATTGGTGACTAGAAGAAAAACCCTTGTGTCAGAGCAGGGTCCATTGAATTTAGCATATAATAACTTCAATAGAAGATCATTACAATTAAGTATGATCAGAACAATTTTCCATAGTATAGGAATTGCCAACAGAGAGGGACAGGGATAGAAGAGAGAAAGGGTGAAATGACATTTTCAAAACAATGAACACAGGCCCCACAAGAGCAGGCATTCTTTGTGTTTTTTTTTAATGTGTTTCCCACAAGCCTACAGTAGTGCCTTGCCCATAGTAGGTGCTCAATAATTGTTGAATGAGGCAAGGCATGGTGGCTCATGCCTGTAATCCCAACACTTTGGGAGGCCGAGGCAGGTGGATCACTTGAAGCCAGGAGTCTGAGACCAGCCTGGCCAACATGGTGAAATGCTGTCTGTACTAAAAATACAAAAATTAGCCAGCCATGGTGGCACACACCTGTAATCCCAGCTACTCAGGAGGCTGAGGCACGAGAATTGCTGGGAGGCAGAGGTTGCAGTGATCTGATATCGCACCATTGCACTCCAGCCTAGGCAACAGAGTGAGACTGTCTAAACAAACAAAAAAATTGTTGAATCCAACTGTTACTTTTCATATGTTTTAACTGAAACATATTTACAGAGTAATATATCTTGTATTTTTTCATTCTCTGTGAAGTAGGAAGGAAAGATTTTATTGACTCAATTTACAGATGAGAAAATGAATAATTATGTGGCTTTCCCATGGTGACATAGCAGGTGAAAGAGCCATGACTCACTCCACTTTCCAAAGGGAAAGGAAATGTAGTGCTTTCTTTGCCTTTGCCTAGTCTTAGAGATTGCATTTTTGTTTGTTTTCTACTTTGGAGGCTAGGGTTGCAAGAGTAAACCTGTTACTAACTGGCTAGCTTGGGGTGAGTAGAACAATAAATGAATGATAAAAAATACTTTGTTAGGCCATAATGAACAGCAAAATTTCAGGTATCAAGGCTAAACAAGTATTAGTTCTGTGTACTTCACATTTTTTCCCTGAAATTTCTAGCTGTCCAAAGTCTGCTTTCTTTAAACTAGACTTCTAGACAAGGAATTGAGAAATTTTTCCTGTAAAGAGCCAGATAGTAAATATTTGGGGCTTTGTGAACCATATGGTCTCTGTTGCAACCACCCAACTCTGCTGTTGTAGCACAAAAACAGCCTGGATGATACATCAGCAAACGAATGTGGCTGTGCTCCAATAAAACTCTATTGCTGGATCCTGAAACTTAATTTTCATGTATCACAAAATTTTATTCTTCTTCTGACTTCTTTCAACCATTGTAAAACATGTAAACTATTCTTAACTCACGGATGGTGGGCTGGATTTGGTCCACGGGGCTGTCATGTGCCCACCCCTGCTAACCACCCCTTGAAGCAATATCATCCAAGCAAGCTGCTCTGAGCACAGTTCTGACAATATTATTTCTTTTTAAAAACTCTCAGTGGCTCCATGCAGGCTATGGAGTGAAGTATAAACTAGTTGACATGAACACAACCCTGTCCATGACCAAGGTCCAAGCTGCATTCTGAGCAATATCCTTCCTCACCTTCCAAGATCTAACTAACTTGGGCTCTCCCCGGAAAGGTCTGCTCTCCCCACCTCCACTCCTCGGCCTAGTCAGCTGTGTCCCCCTAAAATGCCTTCTCTACTCTCATCACTGTTTCTTCCTGCCGAAATTGTACCCTTCCTTCTACCTTCATCTCTGAGTCTTCCCTAACCACCCACCACCACCTTCCCAGCTAGACTTAACCTTTTCTTTGTAGTCTATCTTTTGCAATACATGTTAATTTTTTCTGGTATTTAATAGACTCTGCCCCTATTAATAATTGTGTATATGGTCTTCTGCCCTACAAAGTTATTAACTATTGAGGCCAGAACCTGTATGTTATATTTTGGTTGGGTTCCCTGGTAGATTTCCACACTAGGATTCAGTGGTAGGGTTCAATAAACATTTGGGGAATTTAAATGAATATCCCAGAAAGGATCAAAATGGAAGCACTTAAGTGTTTGAAAATCTATTTGCAATTTCAGAATAAGAAAATAAGTAACTTCACTATTTCATAGTGTCTTCAAGCTGTTGATAATAGGAGAGAAAGGAAATTTTTTTTTTTTACTAAATCGAGTTATTCTTCATTTTATGAAAAAAGATTAAATAAATTTACCTAAGCTTAATTAACTGTTATAATTGGCCACAAATGAAAGGCTCCAATTAGCTCTAAATTGAGTGATGGCAAAGGAATCTTCTTGTCAAGACAGACACACAGGAACTTAGTAACAGCTAGAAGCAAATTAGCTACACCTATTCATGAACCCAGACAGAGAAACAAGCTTTAGCTGAGCAGGCCAAAGAGCAAACAATTTAAACTTAAAAATGAAGACCGAGAAGACAGAAACATTAGTTAAAGCAGAAAGAGAGAAGGAGTGAACCACACAGGAAGGTGTGTGTTGTGGCAAAACTGGCCTGGTCTATCTTGGAATTCATCTTATACCTACTTATAAGGCTCCATGTGGTGTTTTTCTTATTCTTTCTGGAACCATCAAATCATCACCAACTATTTCAGAGAGTTACCTACTTCTAAAACCCCCCTCATTTTTAAAGACCAGGTTGTCTTAGTGCTGAGGACAGCAGATAGTGGCAAGAGATTTGAAAAATTTAATTGTTTGTTCTATTCTCACAGAGATACTTCACACTCAATATTTTACTTCTAACATCGGATGTGTGGGGTTCTCTCCCCACACACCAAGTAGTTCTCCAGCTGATCCCAACAGGGTGTCCTTTAATTTAATTCAACTCTAATACTGTCTACCAGGAGTTAGAGTCAGACCCCACAGTTTAAGGGCTTAGTCTCACAAGACTCCCCCCACTTCAGATGCCAATTCCAAGTAGGGTTTCCAGAATTTCTAACCAACTGGCGATAAATTGGGAGTTCCCACTGCCCCTTTTTGGGGCCCAGTCATTTGCTAGAGTGGTTCACAGGATGCAGGGAAGCAGTTTGCTTACATTTACCCATTTATTATAGAAGTATCTAACTTAGGAACACCCAGATAGAAGAGATGCAGAGGGCAAGGTATGGGAAAGCGGTAAGGAGCTTCCATGCCTTCTTGGAGTATGTCACCTTCCACGTGTTCAGTAACCCAGAAGTTCTCTGAACCCAGTCCTTTTGGGTCTTTATGGAGGTTCCACTATTAAGGAATGATTCATTAAGTTATTGGCCATTGGTGATCAACTCAACCTTCAGCTTCTCTCCTCTCCCCAGAGATCAGAAGATTGGGCTGAAAGTTCCAACCCTCCAACCATATAATTGGTTCCTCTGTCAACCAGCCTTTATCCTGAAGCTATCTGGGAGCCCCCAACTATCAGTCATTTTGTTAGTATACCAAAAAAAACACTTATAACTTCCCAAAATTCCAATGATATAATTTAGGAGTTCCAAACAAGGAAAAGGGAAGGAGGTAGGGGCAAAAACCAAAGTAAATATTTTGTTTATATTACCATAGCTAAGCTATGAAAGTTTTGTTAGGGCTTGGTCTGTCTGTCCCAATTCGCTAGGATCTTTTAACAAAGCAAGCCAAACATGTGACTGTGCCCTCTTCTACCTTTAATCTGATAAGCATGTTGCAGTGGATGGAGTTTCAGAAAAATGCAAAGAAATCTCAAGTCAACAGATGAGGAAGCTGAGGCCAGAGAGTTGAAGTAGCTTCCCCAGGTTCCGCTGGGAGTGTTGGCTCTGTGGCTCCAGCCACACTGCTCCCAAACCCACCTAGTAGACAACCATTCCCAGGGGAACAGGGTCTCTGAGCATGCAAAAGAAGGTTTGAGGGGCACAGGAGAATCTAGAGACATAAGAAATAATAATAATTGAGGCTCACTATGTGATGGAGGCATTCTAAGTGTCTTGTTAATGCTCAAATCACTCTCCCAGGGAAGCTCTGTTGCCCCACTTTATAGAAGAAGAAACTGAGGCTTAGAAACATGTAGGAACTTGCTCCAGGTTCCCCAGCCACTACTTAGCAGAGGAGAGGCTCTATCTCCCACAGATGTGCCAGAAACTTATTGAAATGTTTTAGGCATCCTATAAACACCTGTGAGACCCAGGAGTGTAAGCCACCCACCTTTTCTGCCACCACCAACCCTCCCCCCAAAATTCAAGACTGTTCTCAAAGACAGCTCAGTTAGAAGCAGGAGAAATCTCAAAAATAAAACAGTTATTAGTTAAAGTGTCCTCCAAACTGGGTGAGTGGCATATTCAGACAGACTGTGGTCAGGATGGGGAACAGTTAACAATCTTCTAATAAATCAGAAGGAAGTGTTCATTGGAAAGGATACTTAAGATGTAATTTATATGTCATTTAAATGGCCTGGGGTAGGAAAGTCCTCAAAAACATGTGCAACCCAATATGATCTACAGAGGTAGAAATGTGGTTTGAGCAGTTGAATATGATGTGGAGGTTTTCCTTGGAGGGGAAGACTGTGATTAAGGAAATAAAATGTTGGTTAGCCATTTGGAGAAAGCTGGGATAATGGCTATGTAGGGAGAAGCTTGTGAGAGTTTTAGTTCAGTTATCTTACACCAAGGTCACCCTCTAATTCTACAGTTAGCAAAATTTGAGCTTTACCTGTTGAAGGTTATTAAAAAAAATAGATGTGTGGGAAAATGAAAAGCGTACTGGATTTTAAGTGTATTTCCAAGGTATTCTATCTTTTTAAACTACTTGTGCATTTTACTTACTAAGTATCATAATCTGATGATAGACAAGTTCAGCTAAGAGACTGAAATAATTAGCTTACTGTTACCCTACAGCACAGGAGCCTGGAATAACTAACTCTCTGCTGGAATAATATTTGAAATATTAACTTTTTTCTCCTGATCTTTATTACTATTTTGTTTTCTTCCCATTCAAAGAGAAAGACAGCTTTAAAACCTACTCCTTCAGAAAATAAATGGAATCGGAAGGGGAGAGCATGCAGTAATAAAGAAGTGGCAGATGATTGTGACCCAATACAGGAGGAGGTGTTAGAATGAGAACAGAGCATAGGAAGAACCAGAGTGGCTTAGAAGGATGCTTCCCTGTAGGGAAACTGTAGGGTGGAGGGACAGAAAAGGGGTCTGTAGTTTCCAGAAGAGGATCCAAGCTCTGGCTCCTGGAGGCATACCCCAGCAAATTAGCAAGACCAGTAAGAGGAGTAGAGCCTCAGGGCTGGGACAGCAAAGTCCTAGGTCTCCGAGGGCGTGAGGGTCATGCAAACGTATGAAGCACATGGGTGTAAGAGTAAGGGGTGGCAGTGACTGTGACTAACTAGAGAGCACGTGGCCTGCTGAAAGGCATGCACCATGTTTTTTGTCAAAAGTTTGCTTGTCATCGAAGCAAGTTTGTGAGCCAAAATATTTGTGAGCCAAATTTTTCTCTCCTGGGCTCCAAGATAGTTAAGAGACATCATTTACTTCGTAATCAAATCCCAGGATATGAAAGCCACAGAGAGCCATCAAAGCTATATGGACCACAGGGACAAGGATAATTGTCATCTCAGTAGTAAAGTATTGTTGACTGAAATTAAGGCTGTTGAGGCAGAAATAATGTTATAAAGGTTTATGAAAAGCCAAATGTGAGGATCAACCCAGGAAGACACACCAACAAAGTTGAGAGTGTTCTGGAATTTGTCACAAAATGAAAGATTTTTATAGGAAAGTTTAAAAAGAAGGAAAAAGGGCTCCTCATACCAAAGATGTCCTCTTTTCATTGGAGGGTACAATACAGAAGTTACAATCATTAGCTGCAGATGACAACATACAGTCTAAAAGATGTCTACATTCAAGACAATCGGTAAAATATCTTGCTTCAGCTCATCTTAAAATGAGTCAGCATCCTATTCAGTGTCAGCCAGTTATACACTGTTCAGCACATCAACAATTTGAGGAACTTTGGTTAAGATTCTTTTTTTGGAGAAATGTCGCCATTGAGACATCACAAGACCTCCTCAAGGCAGATTAATTTGGAAACCTGCTTACTTCTAAAGCAAACTGTCCCATGTAACCAGTAAGTTATCAGTATGGACAAGAAACAAAGACTAGAAGAAGAAGATCCCATCTCCTCTTAATGCCCCCTCCAGTTATATGTATTTGGGAACTATTCGTAATTCTGAATTCTTAATATGAGCTCAAGCAAGGGGTGGGAAGCTCCATGAATGCTTGCAGTTAGGTTTCTTAACCACTTGGCAGTATAAAGCTCAAATTAAGTTATTCCATTGAAAATAAAGAAATATGGCATTTCTTATACCTGAATTTGTGATTCAGGCCAACTTTATTTGCCATGAGTCTGTATCTACACACCTTATCTGATTTTCTTCAAAACTAGCAGAAAATGCAGGCTAGCAACATCCTATAATCTATCTCAGCAAGCGTTCATTAAGTGTCTAATAATTTACAATCACCTATGTGGTATATGTGGATAAAATTTTACTAAAAACTTTCTGCACCTAGGAAACTTACAACCTAATGGAGAAAACAAGTATGTATCTTTTTCTTTTTTTAGATGGAGTTATTGCTTTGTTGCCCAGGCTGGAGTGCAATGGTGCAATCTCAGCTCACTGCAACCTCTGCCTCCTGGGTTCAAGCGATTCTCCTGCCTCAGCCTCCCAAGTAGCTGGGATTACAGGTGCCTGCCACCATGCCCAGCTAACATTTTGTATTTTTTTAGGAGAGACGAGGTTTCACCATATTGTCCTGGCTGGCCTCAAACTCTTGACCTCATGTGATCCAACCGCCTTGGCCTCCCAAAGTGCTAGGATTACAGGTGTGAGCCACTGCCCTGCATAGGTATCTTAAATGCAAGGGAAAGTACGATAATTACAACTCCTAAGAATCACAGTCATGAGAACACAGAGGAGAGAAGGAGCTTAATCAGAGTAATAAGGCTGGATAATACGGAGAAGTACCCAAATGTGTTGACCTATTCAGCAGCAGTTTAAGAAACAGACTTAAATTGGATAGAATATAAAGACAGTTCATTACTTCTTCATCTCTTATATTTCCTCTGTCAAGTCACCAATCTCCCCAACATTTTGACATCAAATTTTGACTTGTTTGATTTGTCCTCTGCAGAATTAGAAGATTCTTTCCTAATTACTTCCTGGTTCCATCTGTTAAAAAGACATTCAGCTTGAAAAATAAGTTTGCATATATATTTGTCCAAAGTAGTTGTCAACCTTGGGCACATGTTGAAATCACAAAGGCAGATTTTAAAAGATGAATGTCTGTCGTTTGCCTCCTGGTAATGATGCACTAAGAACACAGTATCACTTATGGGATATTCCTGTCAAAAATGTATAGCCTGAATTGAATCATGAGGAAACATCTAAAAACCCAAATTGAGAGACATTCTACAAAACAACTGGTCTATTATTTTTTTAAATGATACAGTCATGAAAAATATGAGGAATGTTTCCACATTAAAGGAGACTAAAGAGTCATAACAACTAAACTCAGTGGTGCTCTTGAATTCAAGAATCCTGGTCTAGAAACTGGACCAGGAAAATGATATCACTGGAATATTTAGAGAAATTTGAAGATTTGTGGATTAGATAACACAATCGTATCAGTGTTGATTTCTTGATTTTGATAATTGTTCTATGATTGTGTAAGAAAATGTCGTTTAGCACCAGGGACTGCTCTCATGGAAGACAATTTTTCCATAGACATGGCTGGGGTTGGGGTCTGGGGATGGTTTCGGGATGAAACTGTTCCACCTCATGTCATCAGGAATTAGATTTTCATAAGGAGCGTTCAACCTAGATCCCTCACATGTGCAGTTCACAATAGGGTTCACACTCATGAGACTGTAATGCTGCTGCTGATCTGACAGGAGGCGGAGCTCAGGCAGTCATGCTCGCTCACCCACCACTCACCTTCTGCTGTGCAGCCCAGTTCCCAACAAGCCACGGACTGGGTACAGGTCTGTGGCAGGAGGGTTGAGGACCCCTGCTTTAGGAAATATACACTGAAATGCCCAATACAATATTTAGAAGTAGTGTCATGTCTTCAACTTACTCTCAAATGTTTCAGAAAACAATATGTGTGTATAGAGAAAAGTATTCTAGAGAGACACAGGGAGAGAGAGAGACAAACACACACACAGAGACAAAGAACATGATAAAGATAGAAAGAAGAATCTGGATGAATTGTATACAGAAATTCTTGATATTTTTTGTAACTTTTTTGTGAGTTTCATATTATTTCAAAATTAAAAGTATTTAAAAAATTTTTTTAAGTACCATTCCCAGAGATTCTAACTTACTTCCTTTGGGATGGTGCCTGGACATCAGGACTTCAAATTCTCCCCAGCTGATTCTTATTTGCAGCCAGGATTGAGAAGCACTGGCCTATACAAACCCTAGTGTCTGGAGATACAGAATTTCTGAGCTACCTATAATGTTTGAAACTAGTTGGAGTAAAGGGCATTGAGGTTGGAGATTTTTTTTTTATCTCTGCACAGAGCAGTTTAACAGGGTCTTAAATACAGATACCTCAAGGGTCCAGCAAGTAACATAAATGTGTAAAGTAAAGCAGTAGATCACAAGATGACAGCAAACTGTAAGGAGAACTTGTCGATTAAAGTCATTTAGTTCAGATTTTAAAAATATACTAAACAATCCCAAATTGGCAGGCCTATATGGGAGAGTAGGTCATCACATTGTAACATCTGGACCTTGAAGAACAGAGAACTATGGTCATAATTTGTAGGCATAGAAATTAGACAGTACTTAGATTCCTCGGAAAATATTACTATTATGGGCCAGACACTATGTTTAGGTATTAGGTTTATATTAAATTTAAGCAAAGTATATGTTTAAAGTAAACTTGGAAATAAGATAATATGCATTTGATAGCTGTTTCTGTTAGGCTAACTTTGGCTGGCTGTAACATAAAATGGCAAGTTAAACTGGTTCAAACAATAAGGTAATTTAACATCTAAGGTGAAGGAAGTCTAGCAGCTTAGCAATGTCCTCAAGATCTGGGTTGTTCCCATCTCCCCATCCATCTTCTTTACTGTTCGCCATTTGCCCTCCAGCTAGCTCCACTTATAGTCCCAAATCAGCTGCAGGAGCTCTAGGCCTCACATCCAGATGTGGCAACATCCAGGAAACAATCTTTTATTGTTTTTATCTCCTAGGAACAAAGAAACCTCTTCCAGAAGCCCCTCAGTAGATTTTCTCTTATGTCCCAATGTCCCAAATTAGGTCACATGTTTATTCCTAAGCTAAGCACTGGAAAGAAAACAGGGTTTCCAGCCTGGGCTTAGACTGAACAGAATCTGCCTAGAGAATGGGGTCACCATCCTCTGTAACTTGAGGGAGGCAGGATTGATATCACTACAAAACTGAGGTGGAGGCACAATGAGTAATCAAACAGTAGACCTCACCATACAAAACTGTTTTTAATCAGATGTTTTTGGAAATTAAGCCAAACTTCCACTTACAACAGCAGACTATGTAAACACTCATTCCTACTACAGAGATCTGCAAATTAAGCAATTTAAAATTGAGAGATGTGGAATGTGGTGGGAAAAAGCACAAGACTGACCAAATTTAGCTTTCAATGACCTTGATCAAGTCGCTTAGTTTTTCTGAACCTCATTTTCACCTTAAAAATATGGATTGGACTGGATGGTTTCTAAGACCACTTTCAACATTAATGGACTGTTAGCCTTCTATCGCTAATAAATACTCTATAAAATAAAGGAGCTAAAGAACTTGGTATTGTGAGAATACCTCTCAAAGTAAATAGTTCTCAACAATACAGACTTGAAATGAGGGAAAGGTGAATGCTTTAAAATAATAATTAGGACTTCTAGTTTTTGGTCCTGCATGTAAGGAGCTTGGACATCATCACTCATCTTGACAAGTAAGAAGCAGAACAAACAGAAAAATGAACAATTTTTACATGTGTCTTCTTGGTCCATCGGAGAAGTGATGTCCCACGGCAAATACCTGCACCAACAACTAAAGAAACAGACAGATTAATACATAAAATCACAACTTACCAAGGCAGAAACCACCTCCAGAACCAGTACTGAGGCAGGAAAACCTAAGTTGTAACAGACAAATTACTGGAGGTTCACTGTGCACAACTCCAGGAGCAGCCCTTGGCAACATGGCAAAACACCATCTCTACAAAAAAATGCAAAAATTAGCTGGATGTGTTGGCACATGTCTGTGGTTCCAGCTAGTTGGGAGGCTGGGGTGGGAGGATAGCTTGAGCCTGGATGGTTGAGGCTGCAGGGAGCTGTGATTGCACCACTGCACTCTAGCCTGACAACAAAATGAGACTCTGTCTTGAAAGAAAGAGAGAAAGAAAACATAATACTATTGGCCAGGCATGGTGGCTCACGCCTGTAATCCCAGCACTTCGGGAGGCTGAGGTGGGCAGATCACGAGGTCAGGAGATCGAAACCATCCTGGCTAATGCAGTGAAACCCCGTCTCTACTAAAAATGCAAAAAAAATTGGCCGGGCGTGGTGGCGGGCACCTGTAGTCCCAGCTACTCTGGAGGCTGAGGGAGGAGAATGGCGTGAAACCGGGAGGCAGAGCTTGCAGTGAGCCGAGATCACGCCACTGCACTCCAGCCTGGGTGACAGAGCAAGACTCCATCTCAAAAAAAAAAAAAAGAAAAAAGAAAGAAAAAACATAATACTATTTACATTAACAGCTCCAAAATTAAATACTTAGATATAAATCTAACTGAATATGTCCAAGATTTATATGAAGAGAACATTGATGAAAGAAATGAAAGAACTAAATAAACGGAGAGGTATTACTGTTCTTTGATGGGAAAATTCAATATTGTCAAAATGGCAGTTCTTTCCAACTTGATCTATAGACACAATGCAATTCCAAAGTTTCAGCATGTTATTTTGTAACTATTGATAAAAAAGATTCTATTTTTTTGGAGATCTAGAATAGTCAACACAATATTGAAGGAGAAAAACAAAGTTAGAGGACTGATGCTATGCAATGTCAGAAATTACCATGAAGCTATAGCAATCAAGGCAGTGTGGTGCTGGTGAAAGAATATGCAAATACATCAGAGAAACAGAATAGAGAGCCCAGAGATATGCCGACATAAATATAGTCAGCTAATCTTTGACAAAAGAGCAAAGGCAATACAATGGAGCAAAGAGTCTTTTCAACAAATGATGCTGGCACAACTGGATGTTCACATGCATAAAAATGAATCTACACCCAGATCTTGCACCCTCACAAAAATGAACTCAAAATGGATCAGAGACACGAAGTAAAATGCAAAATTATAAAACTCCTAGGACATAACATAGGGGAAAATGATGACTTGGGTGTGGTGATATCATTTTAGATACAACACCAAGACACAATCTATAAAAGAAAGAATGAATAAACGGGACTTCATTAAACTAAAAACCTTTGCTCTGTGAAAGACATTGTCAGAAGAATGAAAAGGCAATTCACAATCTGGAAGAAAATATTTGTGAAAGACATATCTGATAAATAACTGCTGTCTGAAATATATACAGATCTCTCAAAACTCAATACAATAAAAACAACAAGAAAACAACTCAATTAAAAAGTGGACAAAAGATCTTAACAGACAGCTCACCAAAGAAGATATTCTGATGGAAAATAAGGACATAAAAAGATATTCCACATCATGTCATTAGGGAAATTCAAATTAAAACAATGAGATGGCAATAAGCATCTGTTAGAATGGCCAGAGACCCAGAACACTGACAATACAAAGTGCTGGCAAGAATATGAAGCAACAAAAAGTCTCATTCATTGCTGATGGAATGCAAAATGGTACAGCCACTTTGGAAGATGGCTTGTCAGTTTCTTGTAAGACTAAAGAGACTCTTAACGTACAATCCAACAATCATACTCCTTGATATTTACCCAAATGTGCTGACGACTTGTGTCCACACAAAAACCTGAATCACAGATGTTTATAGCTGCTTTATTTGTAATTTCCAGACTTGGAAGCAACCAAGATGTCCTTCAGTAAGTGAATGGATAAGGAAACTGTGGTTCATTTAGACAATGAAATTTTTTTTAGAACAAAAAAAGAAACGTGCCATCAAGCCATGGAAAGATAGGGAGGAAACTTAAATGCATATTAGTAAATGAAGTAAGTCAATGAAAAAGCTATGTATTGTATAATTCCAATTATATGACATCCTCAAAAAGACAAAAATATGGAGACATTCAAAAAGGTTCAGTGGTTGCCAAGAGTTAGGGGGACAGGAGGGATGAATATGCAGAGCACAGAGGATTTTTAAGGCAGTAAAACTACTCTCTATGATGCTACAATGGGGAGTACGTATCACATATTTATCAAAACTCATAAAATGTACAACGCCAAGAGCTAAGACTAATATAACTATGGGCTTTGAGAGATAATGATGCTTCAATACAGGTCATCAATTGTAACAAATGTACCACCCTGGTGGGGGATGTTGATAGCTGGGGAGACTGTATGTGTGGGAGGGCAAGGGGTACATGGGAAATCTCTGTACCTCTGCCCAACTTTGCTGTCAACCTAAAACTGCTTTAAAAAATAAAGTCTATTTTTATTTTATTTTATTTTTTGAGACAGTGTCTCCCTCTGTCTCCCAGGCTGGAGTGCAGTGGCATGATCTCAGCTCACTGCAAGCTCTGCCTCCAGAGTTCAAACGATTCTTCTGCCTTAGCCTCCCTAGTAGCTGGGACTACAGGCCCACGCCAACACACCCAGTTAATTTTTGTATTTTTTAGTAGAGGTGAGCTTTCACCATCTTGGCCAGGCTGGTCTCAAACTCCTGACCTCAAGGAATCCGCCTGCCTCTGCCTCCCAAAGTGCTGGGATTACAGGGGTGAGCCACCACACCCGGGCTCTGTAAAGTCTGTTTTTAAAAAAGCATAATTAAAGCTAACTCTGTCAAGCCTTCAGATGTAAATTTTATACGATAAGATAAGAATTTTCCCTCTTTAACTTCAAGCACTATCTGTTACTTTCTTCAGGAATGTTATAACAAATAGATTCGTCTGGGAGTTTGATGAGGAATAAAAACTATCTAAAAGTAGGCTTGGTTTTCAATTTACATTTCAACATGTCTACATAAATGTGGGCAGCCTCTCCAAATTCTTCATTCCCAAGAGAAAATTTCAATTTTTATGGCAAGCATATAATTATCTATTTTCTTTCAAAATAATATTTTAGATATTTCCTGTCCTTAAGATGTTGCCATTGAACAAATAACAGTTTGAATTCTGATTCCCTAAAACATATGTGAAACTAAATGAGCAAGGCTAGTGCTGACATCTACTGTTAGAATTTGGGTGTGAATGACTTTACCATGCACAGCCCTTTCCTAAGGAGTTGGGAGTTGTGCAGCAATAGTTGTCGATATGGGGTGACTGACTAGGAGATCATTGCCCAAAGCTCTATTATCTTGAAAACAGGTGCAAGAGAACCATATAGCACTTTTGAGGTAAATATAATGAAGATTTTGGAAAAAGATCAATTAATGTCAAGAAGTATTTCCTATTTTCCAGGAGCCTTCCAAAGACTCTGTCGTCTCTTAACAAACCTCCTACTCTGTTTCTCCTATATTGTTTCTGACCCTGGTGCTTTAAAGAAAAGATAGATGTGGCTACTGAGTTTCAGTGTTGTCTTTAGGAGAGGGAAAGAGAAAGGAGAACAGAACACTTCCCTGACCCTGGTGTTTCTCCTGCCCTGGTGCATTGCTCTAGATTATAAATCGGCTGTCTACCTTTTGTTTTAGCTGTCGTTATTCTTCTCTGAAAATATTTTCCACCCCAACCTAGAAAATTGTTATTGAATTTTGTCACCATGACTATTTTAAAAGGTGCGCATTGTGTGAGATCTCACATTCCACCTCACAGTTACTTATGTGTCCGCCGAGTAGCTAATACCTAGGCTGGTGAGAAGAGACTGAGAATATACATTCCAGTCAAATAGAAATGCATTATCCTACCTATGTACAAAGGGAAGCAGGAGTGTGTTGCAATTGTCAGGACGGGACTTCTGTAAAAATCGAGACTGGCAATGTCAGACCTGATGTTTGTTCATCATTGTTGTCAACCTAGCACAAGATCACACAGTCCTAAGAGGAGGAACCAGAAGACTTGGAAGCTTTGATGTGGATAATCAACCCCCACAGAACATACAAGCCGACGGCTCTATGGTGTCTTCTGGTCTTGCTCTTGCATTATTGCCCTTAGTTTTATACTTTCTTATCTGATAGATACACACTTCTTAAGAACATTATGCTTGTTGCTAAGAACTATGAAGGAGTCTGCCTCAACGTGAAGAACACAAAGAAACCTTCTATATTTTTGTCCTGTTGTTCATTTGTTTTCAAGACAACTCCAGTAGGTTCATTTTTTAAAAAAACTACTTTTTTAGTTCTTATATTTTTAGAGTAAGTTATTTGAATATTTAAAATGGAATTCGTTTTTTAAAAGATTATTGGTAGAAGTCAACATTCTTCATGGAAGATCTAAACAAGCTTAAAGGATTTGTGTTCTTTGGAGTCAAATCATAAAAATACTTCTTTTATTCATACAGATATCATCAAAGCACTTCTGCACAACTGCCTTTATTAAGCTGGCATTTTGGAACCAGCAATGTGCTGTAAATCTTTGTAAAGATCTTTTTCATAGAAGACCAGTTTATGTTCATTGAAAAAAAAAACTCTACAGAACATTACTGAAGATTGTGCATAGTGAGTTGATCAGCTCTTTCCACTCCAGTGACGCTGTTCCACATGGAAGCCAGGGCAGTACAGGGTTAAAAACATGCATGCTGGCATCAGAGTGCCTGGGTTCAAAGCCCTGCTCTACCAATCATCCACAGGATGAGTCTTTGGGTAATTTACTTCAGTCTCAGTGACACAGTTTTTTCATCTCTAAAATGGGATAATAAGTTAACATATGTTAAGTATTTAATGCTATTCCTGGCACTTCGCAAGTTCTCAATTAATATAAGCTATCATTATCATTAAATGTAACAAGTTACCAATCATACTCTATTTTGTTATAAAAGAAGCATCCCAAATCACTGGCTTGTCTTTGTCATTTAATTGTAAATTAAGAAGTGTTAGGTTTAGAAAATATTGATTGGCTGATAGAAACTCCTTATGTAAAAGATATTAATATTCCCCAAAATTTCTCTAGGGAAGATATTTTTAATACAACTGTGATTTGTAAAAAAAACATATTTTTTCAACTTTTGTTGTCTCAGTTCTGTTTTTGTTTGTTTTCTTTTGTTTTTCTATTGCTTTCCTTTAGTATTTCAGTCTGTTTTGTGCCCCCCACATTCCTCTTATTTAAAGTATCCTAGGCTTTCATCTTGTTTTATGACAGCTCGGGCAGGGCCCTGACTCCCGGCTTATTAAGCATGGTCTCCTCTAGGCCTTGCAGTGAAGAGAGATCTCAACAGGGCAGTGTGCATTTTTGTTGAGTGTGTGCAGAAAGGGAACACAGAATTATTTGACCATTATAGTGGTCTCTTTCCTGGTGAGGAGTAGGAAAGGGAAGAGGAGTGAAGTCAATTGACATTAGAAAGAATATATGCAAACACCTCAACACTGTCTCCTTCTCCAGCCCCTCTACCTCTGAGAGTTTTTCCATTATTTACCTGGTGTTCACCTGGGACCTGAGCTGAGCACCTACATTTTCTGTGTTCTGTGTTTAAGGCACATATTTAGTTTATTGATTTAACCATTTCTCTTTGTTAAAGTGTGGGTAAGTGCATTTTAACTAACTCCAGAATAAAATTAAGATAAACATGTGCACCCTTCCCTTCCACTTCCCAGTAATTCTTTGTGACCACTGAAAATGGGACTATAGCTTTTCTCTACTTTCCTGCCCAGGCCACTGCCCCAGCCTTTCTTTTCTGAGTCCTCCACTTGTTCTACTACATATTGTTCTCTCCTGTCTTTCTGTCTCTCTTGTTTTAAATACTTAATTTTTTTAGAGCAGTTTTAGATTCACAGCAATATTAAGGGGAAGGCAGAGATTTCCCATGCACACCCACCCGAAACATGCAAAGCTCCTCCTATTATCACATCCCCTACCAGAGTGGTACCTTTACTACAAATCTACATTAGCATGTTATTATCACAGTTTACATCAATCTTCATGCTTGGTGTAATTCTACAGGTTTCAAAAAATGTAAATGACAGAAATCCACCATCACAGTGCCATACAGAGTATTTTCATTGTCCTAAAAATTTTCTATGTTCCGCCAAATCATCTCTCTCCTCCTTCAAATCCTGTCAACCGCTGATCTTTTTACTATCTCCATAGTTTTGCCTTTTCCAGAATGTCATATAGTTAGAATTATACAGTATGTAACTTTCAGATTGAGTTCTTTCACTCAGAAATATGCTCTAAGGCTCCTCCATGTCTTTCTGTGGCTTGATAGCACATTTCCTGTTAGTGCTAAATAAAATTACATTGGCTGAATGCATTATAGTTTACTCTTTCATTTCGCTACTAAAGTACGTCTTGGTTGCTTCCAAGTCTGACAATTATGAATAAAGCTGCTATAAAGGAAGCTGCTCTTCCTTTCTTTATGTATATTCAAATTTCTGACATATTTTCCTTCTTTCCAATGTATTTTAAACATTTTCAAATGTTTTTATTTATTTAATATTTATTTATTACAAATAAATGTAAATATTATCTATCATTTATGTATGCATTATTACATATTATATTTAAATAAATATAAACATATTTGTTATATTAATCTTACAAATAAATATAAACATATTTGTTATATTTATCTTACAAATAAATATAAACATATTTGTTATATTTGTTATATCTTACAAATAAATATAAATATTGTCTTTACTTAATATTCATTAAATACTTTAAATATTTCACTTCACTCTCTTCTTATTTGCAAGGACAAAGTTGGCTATATTTCTTGTCTTTTATCCTCTATAGGTAAAGTATTTTTTTTCCTCTTGCTTCTTTCAGGATTTTTTTTAACCTTTGAATTTTTTGCAGTTTGAATATGACATGCCTCATTGTTGAGTTTTTTGTTTGTTTGTTTGTTTGTGGCATTTACCCTGCTTGGTGTTCTCTGAGTTTCCTCAATCTGTGGTTTGGTGTCTGACATTAATTTGGAAAAATCTCAGTCATTATTACTTGAATATTTCTTCCATTCCTTTCTCTCTTTTTCTCTTTCTGGTATTCCCATTATGCATATGTTACCCCTTTTATAGTTGTCCCACAGTTCTTGAATATTCTCTGCTGTTCTTTTTTTTCATTCTTTGTTCTCTTTGCTGTTTAGTTGTTCTTTGGATGGAATGGTGACTTCTAAGCTCCTTACATGCCGAGCCAAAACCAGAAGTCTTGTTTCTTTCTTGACTCTTCAACAAAGCTCCTTTATATTGAGTGCACACTGGATTTTTTGGAGTGCTGAGTCACACCTGGCGTTTTTGTTTTAAAAAATCACAAATGAATTTACTCAGCTTGTGGTGGTTTGTACAGGCTTGATTTGATATTTGACTCTTGAGCAGCTTCATGCCCTTCAATGAAGTGAAAAAGAAAAGATTAACCAGGAAGAGAGTTTCATGTCATGTTGCCAGTCACTGTCAATGACCCCACTCAATAGTGTGGGACTTCTAACATCCTGGGTGGCTCAGGACAAAGTCCAGGACAATCCCTTGCACTAAAGTGCCCTCTGCATTTCTGGTGTGCCTATATTCTTCCAATGATCAACGGGCCCAGATTATTCCTTCGTTTTAAAACATATCTCCTATAGGCATACTCAACTTAACCTGAAACCAAACATTCATTTGAAAACCAAAAGATTCCACTATTTTTTTTTCTGTACAAAATAGAGTGACTTGCAACATTTTCTTAGTAAAATTTTTCTCTCGAGTTAGTTGTCTGTTGCAAAAACCCAGGTGAGATGTCATTAATAGCTAAAGGTTTCTTCAGAAAATGCTGCCACCCTAATTATCAACTGCCTTAAAAATATGTATGTGCTTTGGACCAGCATTTTTATATCTAGTAATTGACCAAAAGGAAATTTTAATCCTAAGGAAACAGATATTTAGCTGAAAATGTTTACCATAGTGCTGTTTATTGAAAACAGTCCAAATGCTAAATGTAGAAAATGGTTAAATATTCTATGGTACCTTTATACACAGAAATTCTATGCCATCATTAAAAATGATGTTGTAAAATAACATTTATTTACCTGAAAATATATCATGAGAAATTGTTAAGTGCAAGGATATAAACACCTGGCCGGGCGCGGTGGCTCATGCCTGTAATCCCAGCACTTTGGGAGGCCGAGGCGGCCGGATCACGAGGTCAGGAGATTGAAACCATCCTGGCTAACACGGTGAAACCCCGTCTCTACTAAAAATACAAAAAAAAATTAGCCGGGCGTGGTGGCAGGCACCTATAGTCCCAGCTACTCGGGAGGCTGAGGCAGGAGAATGGCGTGAACCCAGGAGGCGGAGCTTGCAGTGAGCCGAGATCACGTCACTGCACTCCAGCCTGGGAGACAGTGAGACTCCATCTCAAAAAAAAAAAAAAAAAAAGGATATAAACACCTGTATGTCCTGAATGGTAATGCCTAGGTTTTCTTCTAGGGTTTTTATGGTTTTAGGTCTAACGTTTAAATCTTTAATCCATCTTGAATTGATTTTTGTATAAGGTGTAAGGAAGGGATCCAGTTTCAGCTTTCTACATATGGCTAGCCAGTTTTCCCAGCACCATTTATTAAATAGGGAATCCTTTCCCCATTGCTTGTTTTTCTCAGGTTTGTCAAAGATCAGATAGTTGTAGGTATGCGGTGTTATTTCTGAGGGCTCTGTTCTGTTCCATTGATCTATATCTCTGTTTTGGTACCAGTACCATGCTGTTTTGGTTACTGTAGCCTTGTAGTATAGTTTGAAGTCAGGTAGCGTGATGCCTCCAGCTTTGTTCTTTTGGCTTAGGATTGACTTGGCGATGAGGGCTCTTTTTTGGTTCCATATGAACTTTAAAGTAGTTTTTTCCAATTCTGTGAAGAAAGCCATTGGTAGCTTGATGGGGATGGCATTGAATCTGTAAATTACCTTGGGCAGTATGGCCATTTTCAAGATATTGATTCTTCCTACCCATGAGCATGGAATGTTCTTCCATTTGTTTGTATCCTCTTTTATTTCCTTGAGCAGTGGTTTGTAGTTCTCCTTGAAGAGGTCCTTCACATCCCTTATAAGTTGGATTCCTAGGTATTTTATTCTCTTTGAAGCAATTGTGAATGGGAGTTCACTCATGATTTGGCTCTCTGTTTGTCTGTTGTTGGTGTATAAGAATGCTTGTGATTTTTGTACATTGATTTTGTATCCTGAGACTTTGCTGAAGTTGCTTATCAGCTTAAGGAGATTTTGGGCTGAGACGATGGGGTTTTCTAGATAAACAATCATGTCGTCTGCAAACAGGCATGGGCAAGGACTTCATGTCCAAAACACCAAAAGCAATGGCAACAAAAGCCAAAATTGACAAATGGGATCTAATTCAACTAAAGAGCTTCTGCACAGCAAAAGAAACTGCCATCAGAGTAAACAGGCAACCTACAACATGGGAGAAAATTTTTGCAACCTACTCATCTGACAAAGGGCTAATATCCAGAATCTACAATGAACTCAAACAAATTTACAAGAAAAAAACAAACAATCCCATCAAAAAGTGGGCGAAGGACATGAACAGACACTTCTCAAAAGAAGACATTTATGCAGCCAAAAAACACATGAAAAAATGCTCATCATCACTGGCCATCAGAGAAATGCAAATCAAAACCACTATGAGATATCATCTCACACCAGTTAGAATGGCAATCATTAAAAAGTCAGGAAACAACAGGTGCTGGAGAGGATGTGGAGAAATAGGAACACTTTTACACTGTTGGTGGGACTGTAAACTAGTTCAACCATTGTGGAAGTCAGTGTGGCGATTCCTCAGGGATCTAGAACTAGAAATACCATTTGACCCAGCCATCCCATTACTGAGTATATACCCAAATGACTATAAATCATGCTGCTATAAAGACACATGCATACGTATGTTTATTGTGGCATTATTCACAATAGCAAAGACTTGGAACCAACCCAAATGTCCAACAATGATAGACTGGATTAAGAAAATGTGGCACATATACACCATGGAATACTATGCAGCCATAAAAAATGATGAGTTCATGTCCTTTGTAGGGACATGGATGAAACTGGAAACCATCATTCTCAGTAAACTATCGCAAGAACAAAAAACCAAACACCGCATATTCTCACTCATAGGTGGGAATTGAACAATGAGATCACATGGACACAGGAAGGGGAATATCACACTCTGGGGACTGTGGTGGGGTGGGGGGAGGGGGGAGGGATAGCATTGGGAGATATACCTAATGCTAGATGACGAGTTAGTGGGAGCAGCGCACCAGCATGACACATGTATACATATGTAACTAACCTGCACAATGTGCACATGTACCCTAAAACTTAAAGTATAATAAAAAAAAATTAAAAAAAAAAAAAACCCCAAATCACAAAACAATTTAAAAAAAAAAAAAAAAACACCCGTATGGAGTATGTACAATATGCTCCCGTCTTTGGAAAGTATATACATATATGCCTAGAAAAACATCCAGAAACCTATTAGACAAATGTCAACTGTGGTTAATTATTGGGTGGTGAAATTGAGTTTTAATTTTCTTGTAATTTTTAATTTATGTTTATTTTACAATAAATGAACAGTAATTACAAATCTTTAAAGACTTTTGGAAGACCTTTTGGAAAAAAATTATTGCTGCTCTTGTGAGAACCACTGATAGATATTGTTTCAGTCCTTCTGCTCTGAGAAGTATGCAAGTTATGGTCATAGAAACTCTGTGGGCTACGAAAAAGTGCACATTAAGGTTATTCAAAGGGCTGGAGTTTATAAGGCACCAGCATAACCTTGCCACAAACAGGTTTACGCTTATGAAACAAATCTATCTAGGTGGATTCATCTTTTACTAAATATTTCCCTGTTGACACAGCTTTACTCGCCAATGTTTAATTGCTTTGTATAATTTGTATTAAGCACTATAACATTATGCTACACAGTACTTCAACCCATAACAAGACTTGAACCTGCAATAATGTCATTCCCAAGGAAGATGACCCAGGATTTTTGTATAGGTACCTCCACAGAGCATGGTGGTTAAGGAGGTTCTGTCATAGGCTCTGAGCCTGTGTAGAAATTAGCAGGCAAACCCTAGGTCATGATGGAAGTATGCATCCAGCAGAATGGAGAAGGGTCATTATGGCCTTCAACTGCAGACATTAACAAGTGTGTCCTAACCTGCTTCATTCCTGGCATGTGGGAACAGAACCTTGAAGATCTGGATTCAAGTCAAGCTTCTTGAATGTTAAATATGTAAACATGTAAAAATCTGGAATCCTTTATAGATTATTACATTTTAAAGCTGATCGTTTACATATAGAGCATTAAATTAAATAGGCACATTCTTTATATATAAACAAACAAACTCTCTAGTGATTTATTTTCTCACCATGGAATTTCAATTTCTGATGGATTTTGATGCACATATTGCATCATTTATATAAAAATTTCATTTGAAGGTGCCCATAAAATTTAAGCTGCAGGTGAACTATCAAGAGAATACGTGAAAGTCATTTACAAAATTAGAACGAGCCCAAGACAGGATGGAAAAACCCAAGCTTCTATAGATATTTTCCAGAATTTTTAGGGTTCAGGATGATCATGTTTAATTCCCAAAGCCGCAATTCCTAGCAGCATAGGAGCTCTCAAATATGCAGAAGGAAATGATTCAGAACTGAAAGAGGATAAGTCATCCAATGAATGGTAAGAATTAAGCCTAATGTCAGTAGGTGGCATGCATGCCTTCAATTATTTGACATACAGTTACTGAGCACCTGCTCAGTAAATCATAGGGCCCAAAGATAATTTCCTGGAGGAATGTGTGACTCAAGGCTATTTGGTCTGCCTGTGTCCTTCCTCTGTAGCTCATAAGCACTCTACATGTGCAAAGTCAAGTTTAAATGAAAGTCAAGGGGAACAGTGAGAAAAGAAGCGAGAAAGGTGCAGCATCGTGTGAGAGTGTGTGTGTGTGTGTGTGTGTGTGTGTGTGTGTGTGTGTGTGTTTGTAATGGAGTGAGAGGTGCCAGAAAAATTTAGCTTTCCCTTCTTTCCAGGTCTCTTTGCTTCAGGAGCTGGGGAAGTGTTGCAGTCATCTCCTTTTCCCTTTTTAGCTCTTCTTCAGTCCCCATGCCTTCAAATAACCTCTGGAGCTTGGAATAATTTATCTGATTAACTGTTCTCAGGATAACCGTGTGGGCATAAGAGGAAAGCAGGTTACTGATGCTACTGTGGCCTCCTAGCAACTGACACAATCAATGCTCTTTGGTTTGGGATGTTAGGCTGCAACCGTCCTTAGGGAGCTGTATATTTTCCATATGTGTTGAGAAGTATAGCAAAGTCTAAGAGAATTAAATGAGAGAATTTGGTTACCCTACTTTCTGGCTTGCTAAGGGTTAACTTTCTAAATTCCAAAATCCTTTTTGTGTCTCCTGTCATTAAAATTATAAAATAATTCATTTCATTTTTTGTCTTAGCAAATAGAGCATTTTGACAATAACATAGGATGTTGTGACTGATTAACATGATGCACACTGTAAAGAACTAAAGATATCAAAGGATGTTGACATTAAACGCACCTTATAAGTTGTTATGATTTTTCACTTGTAATTTTTTCCATAACATTAGACTATTGACTATGAAAGACAAAAATCTGATCACTTGAAGATTGTTATTTTTTAGATTATGATTATTCTAGACTTACTGCACTGTTAATGAACCTTTAGTAAATTTGATGCATAAGTGTTTCCTGGAGTACAAAAAATAAATGATTCTTTGATAAAGAAAGACTCAAAATGTTTTTCCTCATTTTTCCAGTCAAATTTTTTTTTTTAGTTCAGATCTTTGAAAAATATCCCACAAGTTATAAAGATTAATAAAACTGGACAAATATAAAAGTCTCATGATTGAAGTGACATTTTCACATAAATTTCATTAAAGGAACCATTAGGCTAAAGTGTTTTTATGTGTATTAAACTGTGCTATGTAAACTACCAGGGACTTTTTTTTTAAGCAGCCTAAATAAAAGAGAAATGGGTCAAGAAGAAGCTAATTAAGTAATT
Organism: Homo sapiens; assembly: GCF_000001405.40. Lineage (NCBI taxonomy): Eukaryota > Metazoa > Chordata > Mammalia > Primates > Hominidae > Homo > Homo sapiens. The sequence goes on from NC_000012.12 coordinate 46,944,100, forward strand.
TATTGAAGGCTCAAGTATAAACAAGACAACAATCCAAGATTCTTATTTTGCAGATGGTATTTTTCACTGCTTCCTTCACCTCTTGGATGCTTCATATTTCACATTATTTTAAGAACAATTCACTCCCAGAGGATCATGGATGTACAGTCAGTTTGGTCTTGCTGAGTCAACGTGTGCACGTGTTCTCACAAATCTCCAGGCAACATTCACTGACAAGGCAGGGGGAGCTGTGCTCAGCATTTTCTTCAAATTGCTGTCTGAACAGTGGTGTGAAAATGATGTTCACTGTTGTTTGTTTCACCCATTCTCAGTACTGAGAGTTGTCAAAATTACTATTTCTGAGTACAGCATGTGTTCTAATTAAAGATAAAGTGTCTTTAAGACTCAGGTAGGTGTTTCATTAAATGTGATATATGCAGCAATGTATAAAGTATATCATTTATTCACCTTGAGATGCTATTAGGAATGTGCATTTGTGTGATGTCTAACTGATATCATATGGTGCACTAACACAGGGCTTTTCTATTTAAGAACCATTTCACTATGGGTTTGGGGAAAGTTATATATCTCAGGAAGTATTTAGCTTCCAATAGCTTTTCCTCTCTTTTTTAAGTGCAGTAATATATCTTTAAAACATATATGTATATGTATGCATGTATGTGTGTATATATACAGTAAATATATATACACACTATATGTATACTGAAATGTTATGCAGCACATAACATTTAAATATAGATACACACACACAGAGTAATGTGCTGTATAACATTTCAGTCAACAACAAACCACATGTGTGACATTCGTTCCATTTTAATGGAGCTGAAAAATGCCTGTTGTCTAGTGACATCGTAGCCATCGTAATGTAGCATGATGCATTACTCACTTATTTGTGGTCATGCTGGTGTAAACAAACCTACTGCGCTTCCAGTCGTATAAAAGTATAGCACATACAATTATGTACAGTATATGATACTCAATAATGATGATAAACAACACAACTATACTAGTGGTTTATGTATTTACTATACAGCTCCTCTTCAGTCCCCACCCCTTCAAATAACCTCTGGGGCTTGGAATGATTTATCTGATTAGTTGTTCTCACAATAACCATGTTAAGCTATATGTTGAACTATACTTTTTAACATTATTTTAGAGTTTACTCCCTCTACTCATGAAAAAAAGTTAACTGTAAAACAGCCTCAGGCAGGTCCTTCAGGAGGTGTTCCCGAAGGCATTGTAGAAGATGATAGCTTCATGTGTATTATTGCCCCAAAGACCTTCCAGTGAGGCAAGATGTGGAGGTAGAAGACAATGATATTGATGATCCTGACTTTGTATATGCCTAGACTGATGTGTATGTTTGCATCTTAGTTCTTAGCCAAAAAAAAAAGAAAAAAAAGGTTTAAAAAAATTTTAAGAAGAATAAAAAAAAGACATTTTAAAAATATAAAGCAGCAGCTGGGTGCTGTGGCTCATGCCTGTAATCCCAGCACTTTGGGAGGCCAAAGCAGGTGGACCACTTGAGTCCAAGAGTTTGAGACCAGCACAGGCAATATGGTGAAGGCTTATCTCTACAAAAAATACAAAAATTGGTGCACATCAGTAGCCCAGCTACTAAGGAGGATGAGGCAGGAGGATTGCTGAGCCCTGGTGATCGAGACTGCAGTGAGCTGAGATCACACCACAACATTCCAGCCTGGGCAAGAGAGACAAACTCTGTCTCAAAAATAAATAAATAAATAATACAATATAATAAATAAATACTGGACATGGGAAGGCGAGAGACATCTGGTCGACCTTAGACATGAGAAGGTGAGAGCCAGCTGGTTGACCTTAGACATGGGATTTATATATATATATATATATATATTTTATATATATGTGCATGTACATATGTGTGTATATATATGTACATACACATATATACAAAGAAGCTTATGGAACAAGGCTATAAAGAAAGAAAATATTTTTGTCAGCTCTACAATGTGTTTGTGCTTTAAGCTAAGTGTTATTACAAAAGATTCATAAAGTTAAAAAATGCAAAGGTTTATAAAGTAAAAATGTTACAGTAAGCTAACGTTAATTTATTATTGAAGCAAGAAAAAATTTTTTTATGAATTCAGTGTAGGCTAAGTGTTCAGTCTTTAGAAAGTCTGCAGTAGTGTACAGTAATGTCCTAGGCCTTCCTGTTCACTCACCACTCATTCACAGTGGAGCTTGCAGGACTGGAAGATGCTCTGGGTGAGTCAGTGATTGAGTAGTGAGTGAACATGAAGGCCTAGGGCATTACTGTACTTTAAATATTTATACCGTTTAAATCTTTATACCATTACTTTAAATCTTTTACACCATACTTTTGCTGTACCTTTTCTATGTATGAATATGTTTAGATTCATGAATACCCAGCATTGTGTCATAATTGCCTACAGTATTCAGTACAGTAGCATGCTGTACAGGTTTGTAGCCTAGGAGCAGTAGACTTTACCATATAGTTTAGGTGTATAGTAGGTAGGCTATACCATCTAGGTTTGTGCAAGTATACTCTATGATGTTTGCACAATGACAAAATCACCTAGTGATGCATTCCCCAGAACATATTCTTGCTATTAAGAGATGCATAATATTGTGTGTATATATAAATATATTTGCACACACATATGTATAAGAAGTAAATAGAATAAAACAAGATAGATATTATAAATACTTGGAGGTCATGCCACAGGAAATTTCTTCCAATAAATGAGAAGTGAAATTGCCTCTGGTAGTTAAATTTTAAATCAACACATTACTAAGATAGGCAATCAGTCCCCTTAAAGAAAAAGTATGGCTCCCAGGCTGTGGTGTATGGGTCATGAAAGACAGGATGCATAACTGACCAAGGGCTCTAGCTTCCATGCTCTGAAATCATTCGCCATGTTGTACTGAGGCCAAGCTTCCCATGGGCTGCTCCCAGCCATGATTGAGTGCAACAGAAACACTAAGGCAGATGCATTTCTGCAAGATAGGGCATTTCTACAGCCCACTTTGCCACAAGTGACCCTTCTTGCCCCACATCCTGCCCCCAATACCTTGATGAACCTTCCTCCAACTGTAAATGTCTAAGATGCTTCCTCCTGCCCTTCCCCTTTCTCCTTCCTTCAGGGTCAGGCTTGCATCATAGACCAATGACTATCCCAGCTTTCCTCAGCTCCCTCCTTTAATAAAATCCATGCATGTTTAATCCCATCTTGACATGTACTTCCCGGACTAACACACAGACCAAACTATAATTGTATCATTGATTAATACACTAATGTAGCTTAAAAATAAAACATGTAAAATAAAACAGTAACCTCTCAGAAAGAGATTGGTCGGCTCTGGGAGCTGTGAAAAAAGGTGCCAAGCAAAGCTGAACCTGCTCAGTTCATGCTTCTGTGACAGAGGAGGTGACAGCAATGTACCAGCCCAAACACTATCCTTGTTTTTGCAATGGATATATCTGGTGCCATAAAATATTTAGTTCATCCAGTAACACACCTTGTTCTGAGTTCATGCTTTCCAGATGATGTTGAGTTGACTTTTTGACTTCCTCCTAGGCCTATCTCCAGGGAGCAATGTATTAGTTACATGGATGTAGCCCAGAGGGAATTTTTGGAAATTTGGAGAACTGCATTCTAGAGACTCAAAACTGTGACTGCTGAGTGGACCATCTATGGGCAAGAGCAGAATCACTGAATACTGGAGGAGGGTTGCAAGGTGGCCTGGTTTCTGTGGCAGTGATCTGGTAGGTTCTGCTGAGGAAAACTGGATGGTGTCTGGCATGTCTTCAGTAAGTAATAAATGCTAGCAAGCACTTTTGTTATTGGATTATGGCTGGAATTGTCATCTAAAGGGAGAAACGTTAAGTTTTCTTTAAAATATTATTATGTTAGTTTCCTAAGGCTGCCATACCAACCACTAACTAGATAAGTTAAAGCAAAAGAAATTTATTCTCACTGTTTTGGAGGCTACAAGTCTGAAAGGAAGATGTCAGCAGGGCGGGTGCCTTTCGGGGGCTCTGGGGGAGAATCTGTTTCATGTCTGTGTCCTGGCTTCTGGTGAACATAGGCAATGCTTGGTGTTCCTTGGCTTGTAGATGCATCACTCCAGTCTCTGCCTCCAGCTTCACGTGGCCTTCTGCTTGTGTATCTCTGTGGCTTCACATGGCTGTCTTCTCATAGAAACACCAGTCATATGGAATTAGGGGTCTACCCCACTCCACTATGACCTCATCTTAACTTATTACATCTGCAAGGACCCTATTCCCACATAAGGTCACATTCTGAGGTATTATAGGTTAGGATTTCAACATATTTTTGGGAGGACACACAATTCAACTCATATTGGACTTTATGACTCTATGAAATTACTCAAGAGAATAGCTTCATAATGCATGAGAAATAAAAATTGGGGTGATTCAAGACATTACAAACTTTATAGTTAATGTTTGTTCAAATTAACTTAAAGGAGGGGGTGGGACCCAGAGAAGGAAGGGGCTCAAGAGAGCTCATAGCTTATTTCTACAAAATAAAGAATTTCCTTGCTGTCTGTGAGCACTTGGCAACTTTAGGTTGAGGACTGTGCTCTGAATTGTCTTCTCATCTCACATCCCTGCCTAACTGTACACTTACATTTTGTCATACAATCCATCTCCACACATTTTCTTCCTTCACCTTTACCCCCACAATCCCTCCAATCCTGCCTGGAGGCTAAAGCAAATGAAATATATCTACTGTTCTGTACATTTAGCTAATAAAAGAACACTGAGTCTCCACATTCAAATTTCCTTGCAATGTTAGATTGCTTGCTCTAGTTTAGCCTATTAACTATGGGCAAAATACCTTGAATATATTTTATTTCTCTATTTTGTGACATTAACATTTGACTTTCAGCTAATCATTTAAATGTGTGGCACCGGAAAACACATCTTCATAATTGCCTCCTTATTTACATTCCTCAGGGCTGAAGCATGGCAATTTGAATGGATGCAGTTTAAGAATTAATATAGATAGACAAAAATGACAGAGGATTGTAAAGAGGCCCCATGGTTTTGGGAGCTATTCCCTGGCAATCCCTTGTGTTTGATTATAAAAAAAAAAAAAATAAAGGCAGATGTTGAGTGCTGTAGGCTATTCTGCATTTATGGAATTTTCCACTAGGTAATAAGCATTCAGGTCACATACACAGTGAGATTTTCTGCAGTGACAGTACAGATAATAAGGCTGTGCAACTTGGTGACAATTTGCTCCATTTAAGCAAACCATCAACTGGTGCATTTTTACAGCAATTGTCTCAGAAGCATGAGAGATGCTTTTGTGTGCATGTTTTAAATATGGATTCATTAGCACCCAAAGAACAATAGGATGCATTCTGAAATGCATCTTAATGAGAAATAAGCATTGATAGGTCTTCTGAGTTCATGTTTCTATACCACTTTTAAGCCATTAATTAATTAATGGTATTTCTTTGGTCAAATTTAGAAGTAAATAAACCTCTTCCCATTTTTCCTCTTTTTTTTTGAGATGGAATTTCACTCTGTGGCCCATGCTGGAGTGCAGTGGCACAATCTTGGCTCACTGCAACCTCCGCCTCCCAGGTTCAAGCAATTCTCCTGCCTCAGCCTCCCAAGTAGCTGGGATTACAAGCATGCACCACCACGCCCAGCTAATTTTTTTGTATTTTTAGTAGAGACAGGGTTTCACCATATTGGCCAGGCTGGTGTCGAACTCCTGACCTTGTGATCTGCCCACCTCAGCCTCCCAAAGTGCTGGGATTACAGGCATGAACCACCGCATCCAGCCCCTCTTCCCATTTTCTAGGAGTGGCTTTCCCAGAGCCAGATAACATAGTTTAAATATCCATTATTTCTACCAACTATTATTGGGTTAGTACAGAAGGTTTAGCATCTCCAACCCATTAAATGAGAAGATGAGAAAGAAAGGGATTATTAAAGCAATCCATTTTTATTTTTTAGTTCGGTGTATAATCTAGAGTCAAGATGAATGATTGTGTACTGTCCATTAATATCTGTGCTTACCACTCCTAGTTGCTAACCATCAATGTCATCTAACCTTTTGTGGCATATCTGTTGGACTTTTAAGTCTTTCTAAAAGATAATCTCCTTGGTATGCAATGTTGCGCTCGTAGAAGTATTCTTTTTCAACCCACTGCATATCAGCAAATCTGCCTTGGGGCTACATGAACATATGGGAACTGGCACAAAAATGCCTGGACTGGTGCAGCAGGAAGTCAGCCACTGCAGGGAAAGGATGGACATAACACTGAAGCTATCAAGCATATTAAAAGTTTCTTGCAATAAACAAGATAAAAAATGTCCAACACAATTACATCCAAAGAAATTTGTGGCAAGTCAGACTACTTCCTGAAAACATGCTTTTGCAAATAAAATTGATATTAAAATTTTACATAAATTTTCAAAGCCAGAACAAGTCTCAGAGAAATGATTGTGTGTGTGTGTGTGTGTGTGCGTGTGTGTGTACACATAGGTTCTCTTTGGAAAGAGAAAGACAGGAGCATGACATTACTGGAAGGAGCTTTAAGGAATATCAGGACACCTGGCTTCTGATCCTTTCTCTAATCTCACTAGTTCTGAGTGTGAACATTCAGATGAGTTCTGTGAGAAGGAACAAGATGCACTGAAGTTACTTCAAGAAAAAGGAGGATCTTCGAGGGGTAAGCATGGATTAGAAATGAGCAAAAACTCAGAAACAGACACAGGCTGATGGATTCATTCTCTCTCTCTCTCTTTTCAGTACCTCCTGGCTTTGGCATCTTAAGTTCTCCTTGCACTTCTGCATCTCCCTCTGCTGTCTACATACCTGCACTGTCCAATACAGGAACCACCAAGCACATGTGGCTATTCAGATGTAAACATACATTAAATAAAATTAAATAAAATTTATTCAGTTCCTCAGTTGCACTTGCTATGTTTCAAGTGCTCAACAGCCAACCTGTGGCCAGTGGATATTGCATTGGAGGACACCAATTATAGAATTTCCGTCATGCGGCCAGGCACAGTGGCTCATGCCTGTAATCCCAGCACTTTGGGAGGCTGAGGTGGGTGGATCACATAAAGCCAGGAGTTCGAGAACAGCCTGGCCAACATGGTGAAAACCCGTCTCTACTAAAAATACAAAAATTAGTTGGGTGTAGTGGTGCTCATCTGTGATCCCAGCTACTCAGGAGGCTGAGGCATGAGAATGCCTTGAATCTGGGAGGGGGAGGTTGCAGTGAGCTGAGGTCGCACCACTGCAATCCAGCCTGTGTGACAAAGCAAGACTGTCTCAAAAAAAGCAAAACAAACAAAAATTTCCATCATCTCAGAATGGCCTGCACTCCATTCTGTGGCCATTTCTCAATAATCCTGCTCTTTGTTTACCTCCACTTTACTGATTAGAAAAGTGAGGCTCAGAAATGCAAAGATTCAGGTCCAAAGTTTACGTAACTAATAAGCAGCAGAACACTCAATCCTCCAAATTAATTACTCAATTGCCTCCAAATTAATTATTTTTAAGCTACTATATCACATTTACTCTAAGTCAGTAACGAGTTTTCTTTCTGTATTAAAAATAAAGAATGAGGCTGGGCGTGGTGGCTAACACCTGTAATCCCAGCACTTTGGGAGGCCGAGGCGGCCAGATCACAAGGTCAGGAGTTCGAGACCAGCCTGACCAACATGGTGAAACCCTTTCTCTACTAAAAATACAAAAATTAGCTGGGCGTGGTGACACATGCCTGTAATCCGAACTACTCAGGAGGCTGAGGTAGGAGAATCACTTGAACCCAAGAAGCGAAGGTTGCAGTGAGCCAAGATTGTACCACTGTACTCCAGCCTGGGTGAAAGAGTGAGACTGCATCTCAAAAAAACAAAATAAAATAAAGAATGAGTAGTTAAAAATAACACAATTTAAAATAAACACTGACCAGGTGCAGTGGCTCATGCCTGTAATCCCAGCACTTTGGGAGCCCATAAAAAGAAGATTGCATGAGCCCCAGGGTTCGAGGCTTCAGTGAGCTCAGATTGTGCCACTGCACTCAGCCTGGGTGACAGAGTAATAAAACAAAAATAAAATAAACACTCCAAAATTAGATTTAATTATTTGATTTCCTAAGGTAAGCAAAGGAAAAATTGCATCATTAATCAAATTATCAGTGTGTTGATGGTTTCAATTTAGTGTTAAAAATGGTTACTTTTGGTTTTTTAGTTTTGGACCTTTCCTTTGACCTGGATGGTCAAAAATTGGGACTTTTTTGTTTTCATTTTCTCCCTAGAATACAGAGATGAAAATAGTAAAAGACTAGGAAGCATGAAACCTGGAATATAGCCCTGGGTATGCAGCTAGCTAACTGGATATGACTTTGGACAGGTCAGTTACATTCTGGGTCAGTTTCCTTAGCAGTCAAAAGACAACTTCGATGAGTTTCTGTATTCAGGATTGGTGTTTACTTGGTATGTTCCAGTGTGGCCACACTGTTTATTAAATTATTGAAGTAGTCCCATACCAGTTGGCAAACAGCACCCCTTCTCTAGCCATCTAGCTCTTCCTCTGGGATCCTCCCACCACCCCACGATGTAAAACTTGAAGGGTTGATGGCTGAAAAAATATTGGCCTCTCAAGACTCTGCTGCAGCCCACAGCTGGCATTCACTCCAATTGTCAGTTTTCATGCCTTAATGATTGTTAAATATTTTTGATCCTGTACATCCTGCACACATCCAAATATATGTTTACAATGTTCCCATTTATAGTGTGTACAGCTTGCTTGTTCGGTTCAGTTAAAGTTTGAAGTATAGACTCAAAGTTGATAAACTATTTAAGTTGCCTATGAGGCTTTCAGCCAATAAGTCAGACAGCTTCTTCCCTTTGAAAAGTGGGCAGGTAGGAAAATAAGGATGAGGTTACAGTGTTCACTTTCTGGATTGCTCTCCCATATGTCAATAGCTATAAGTTCTGTGAATAAATATATGCTGTCTGAATCACTCTACATTCACAGCCAGCTTTGTCTCTTAAATGTATTTAGATAATGGGACACCTCCCCTAAAAATCTAAAAAAAAAAAAAAAAACACAGTTTAAATTATCATCTTTGGCATTTAATAAATGTCAAGATCATTGAATCAGATTCTCTTCTTATGACTCACTTTATACTTCTTGAACCAACATTAATCTACCTCCTAAGGCACATAATAACTACAGGGGTAGAAGGGTAGAACATCCAATAATTTATTCATTAAGTTCCAGTCACTGCTGGTTTTAAAAGACAGATCTGTTAGCTTCTCATTTCAAGGTCTCTCTCTCTATTCTCCTTTTAAAGATAATAATGCAATTTCTATGTTGCTAAGAAGGAACAATGTTTAGATTATATTTCAATCCAAATTCTCAAGTTCCAAACTGTTTTCAGAAATTTTGTCATTAGTCTTTCAAATACTGCCTTTGATAGGTAACTAAGGGTTTCTTTCATTAAGCTTAGCTTATCTGCTAGTTTTCCTCAGGATAGCTGCAGAAGCTCTTGGCATCACATCTTCACACACCAAAGTAAAAAGATAGGAAATATTTCCCAGAAGTCATCTTAGCTTATCCTACATCACACTGTCCAGTATTGAGTCTTTCATAAGTCAATCATTGGAAAGGAAGAAGGGATCACCATGACTGGCTAAGACGAATCAAGATCTACCCAGTGGGTCTAAGGCTGGGACCAACTTAGCTTGAGCATTTAGCTTCATAAAGGATTTTGTTTTGTTAGTAAAAAAGAAGATGCAAATGGTTGTTGGGTAGGTAATTATTATACTAGCATCTGCTACACATAACAGCTCTGTGGGATAGACGTATTTATTTCTCACAGTTTATAGTTGAGTGTACTGTGATTCGACATGGTAAGCAACATGCCCAAAAACTAGCAGTGGTCCACGGTGGAGCTGTGATTTGAACTAAAGTCTGTCTGGCACTTACATGGCTGCACCAAGTTACTATGCTCTACTAATTTCCAGGTCGTGTATTATATTCACTAAAGATATTGGGCTCCAGCTCACAGTCTTTCTTCTCACCAAAATCCCTCTTATTACCCAGGGAGATCTCCATCAAATCCTAGCCACATTTCCTGACCCCACCTGCAATAGACTTTGCTACCACCTCACTGTAGCCTCTCACTCCCTTGGCCTTACCCTCAGTAACTATTCTAATGTTGAATCTTGAATTCTAGTATCTCATGCTCTGACAGCCTCTCATACTTCCAGCCTGTCTTATTCCCACTACACCTGTTCTTTAAGGTCCCAGAGTTCTCCAACCTCCCCTCCATCTGGAATGTCTACTTCAATATATGAAATTGAAGATGTCTCAAAGCTCCACGCAGACCCCTTTCTCTGAAAGAAGAGAATGAGGCTCAGAATGCTGACACAAGTAGCCTAATGTCCCACGGCTAGTAACTGCAGTGTCAGGACTGGACCACTGGGCCCTTGTGGGTTCCAAGTCAGGCCAATGTTTTGTTTTCTTCCTACACTATCTCTTTAGGTTGAAACTTTTCTCCTGGTAAAGATTTTTAAATATCTTGGGTTGGAACAATATTTTAAGATATTAGCAATTTATACTTAAGTGTAACATGCTTTATATTTTAAAAAGATTTTACAACATATTTTGCTAATGTCTAGAAAAGGCTACAGTGATGAGAAGCTGCTAAGATGGGAAAATGTTTTGCCAATTTCCATGCTGAGAACTGGATAGCTGAATAACTGAGTGGTCAGAGGCAGACAAGTGTTCACTCTTGGGGAATTTATAGGCTAGATAGTTTAAAAAATAGCCTAAGTTCTCTAAAGTTCTCTTCAAAATAGATGTTTTCATAGATTAACTTGTTTTAAAATAAATACAAAGGAGCAGGCATAAGATGATGTTGCATTTTCCTTAGTAGCTGATCTCTGAAAGACATTGCTTAGATTTCTATTTTGAAATTAAAACAAACAAACAAATAGCATACATTGCAATATGAAAATACTCAATGATGCTATATATATACTTTAAGTTCTGTGATACATGTGCAGAATGTGCAGGTTTGTTACACAGGTATTCATATGCCATGGTGGTTTGCTGCGCCCATCAACCCGTCATCTATATTAGGCATTTCTCCTAATGCTATCCCTTCCCTAGCCCCCCACCCCCTGACAGGTCCCGGTGTGTGATGTTGCCCTCCCTGTGTCCATGTGTTCTCATTGTCCAACTCCTACTTATGAGTGAGAACATGTGGTGTCTGGTTTTCTGTTCCTGTATTAGTTTGCTGAGAGTGATGGTTTCCAGCTGCATCCAAGTCCCTGCAAAGGATATGAACTTATCCTTTGTTATGGCTGCATAGTATTCCATGGTGTATATGTGCCACATTTGCTTTATTCTTATGAGACAGAACTTCCTAGGGTATGACTATTTAGTTTGATTGATCTGAAATTATGGATTTCAATAATTTGGAGATGAGACCTTAGTATTTCCAAATGTATGCAAATATTGCTTTCATAATGCACTTGATGGGTCTGAAATAGGAATAGCACTGGGCAGGCACAGGAGGATAGAAAACCCCCAACCACAGCTAAAACAATAACTAGGCAAATAAACCATGGGCTGATGGAAAACCCAAAAGAAGGGACAACAAATGGCCAAAATCCTGGTCAGGTTGACATATCTATGACTCTTTCTGGCAAACCCGAAAAAGAGAAAAAGGGGATGGTAACAAGGGTCCCCGAAATCCTCTCCTTTTCCAGAATGATTATTCCACCCCCTAATTAAAGAAACACCCATAAAATTAAAAACCTAAACTTAATTGTGTGTGATTTGTTCTCGTCAGCACGCCTGCACTTCTCTCTCAACTGTGTACTTTCATTTTTGGAATCAAAGCTTCTTGCCTTTCGCATCATTCGGACTCATCCCCGAATTCTTTTGAACCAGGACACCAGCTGAGGCTGGGGTCTCACTGGCATCTGAAGGCCCTCCGAGCCCTCTAGCAACAGGCAGCAGGCCTTCTTAGTTACGTTTGCTGGCTTGATTAGAATCATATTGCCTTGCACAGTGATAAGCACCTAAACTGATATTAGCTTCAAGAAAACATGAAAGTGTTGATTAACAAAAAAAAAAAAATTAGGTGTTAAGGGTCCCCAAAATACTCTGCTTTGGTTTAATGTATATCGACTACAAAACATCTTTTGAGGCAAGTTTTACCTGTGTAATCAACAGTATTACTGTTTGGTGTGATGTGAAAAGACAAGGATTTTAGAAGATTTTGTGTATGTGTCTTCATGAAACTGCATTGGAAACAGCACATGGGAAGTGAAAAAGAGAAATTTCATAGATACCGTTTGCAATTCTTAGTTAAGCTAGAAACAAAGAGGATCCTGATAATTTAAACATTTGTTTAAATTGTTTCTAATTCCTGTGGTCTGGGAACAAATCCCCAACCTAGCTTCAGTTACCCTCCTCCACACCACTCCATTGACGAAAAGGGGGAAGAAGGAAACTGGGTGGGGGGAAGAATGCGGAAGGAGAAGGAGGTGCAGAAAATTTTGTTTAATTGGGGTTGTAAAAAACAGCAGATGATTCAATATCTCCCTGAGGTTTTTACTGTAGATCACAGAAAGGAATGTGGAAAAACTCTTTTCATGACTTCCACCTCCTAGTAGGATTTGCCTCAGTGGTAGGCCTGCCAACAGTGGCCATGGGTCCTGGACAGAGGATACATGTGCTGTCTGGCCCACTGGTCTGTGGTCATTTCCTATCTTTTTTTAGGGTCTGATGCTATTTTAAGTGTGCCTCTTGACTGTGTGGGTATCACAGACACATTTCTCTGCTGTCCGGTTGCAGAACGGGTCTACTTTTTGACCATGCATATTGTAGACAGTCCATGGAGGTGAGACAGGGATGGTCCTTAAAACCTAGAAATAAGGAAAGTGAGAATGCTCTTTGAGAGTTAAGCTATGACGTAAGTCCAGCATAATTTGGAGTAAAGAGAGATATTTAAAGTCACATTAAGATTGCAAGCAAACTTGAATTGTGTGTGTCCAAGTCATGCAACAAGAAGTGGATTTACCCAGGCTCCCTGGCCAGCATATTCTTATTATAGTGATGGATACATCACACTGCCAGAGTTGATGTTTGTTGCACATTCTTTTCACATAACCAACTCTCCTGATTCCCCAAAGTAAATGTCTCAGGTACTTTGCACTGATCAGACTGACCTAAATGTGAGATCTCCTTGACAGTCACATTTCCCTTTAAAATCTAATACACTGGAATTCTGTGTTTCTACCTCATGGTAAGTTTTGTTAGCTAAAGGTCTCATCTTTAAGTCCAAAGAATGTTGGGTTACGATGAGTTTCAGAGCTGCTATCATCCACATCATGCTGGTGTCTCCCAAAATTTATATGTTGGAACCAAACCTCCAATGGGATAGTATTGAGAGATGGGGCTTTGGGGAGGTGATTAGATTATGAGGACAGATCCCTCATGCATGTGAATGGTGCGTTTAAGAAAAGAGGCCCCAGAGAGCTAGCTAGCCCCTTCCACCATGGGAGGATGCAGCAAGAAGGCATCATCATCTGTGAATGAGAAAATGGGCCCTCACCAGACACTGAATCTGCTGGCACCTTGATCTTAGACTTTCCAGCCTCCAGAACTGTGAGAAATAAATGTTGTTTATAAGCTACTCAGTTAATGATAATTTGTTATAGTAGCCCAAATGAACTAAGACAAGAGCTTACAAGTCTAAGGTCATCCCCCTGGAAAGCAGTGGACAGGCTCACTGAGAAAAACATCTCTTCGTGAGGACCTCTCTGGATGGCCAGCCAGCCCTCTTCAGGCCCCGCCCTATCTGTGCCCCTCAAAACACACCTGCTTCACTGCCTCTCAACCAGCCTCAGGAGAGGATAACACTGCTACCATTTGTTTTTTCTGAAGGAATCCTTCAAACATTTCATTTGACAGTTATTCCTATTTCAGTAAGACCTTGTGAGGCCCAGCTTCACAGATGGATAATGGCCCCATCCTACAAGTGGAAGAGGATGTGCCTGTGTCTTAGTTGGAGAGAGAGAAAAAAGCAATCTGTCAACCTGATGGAAAATCCATCACTGTGGGGATTTACAGGAATAAATGACCGTAACACTTCTTCCTGGCAGCTTTGTGCACATGGATAATAAGTAAACCCTTGTTCCTTTATAGAATGGTTTATTTCAAAGAACTCGTGACCCACAAGATTTTCTATTTAACCCCTAGGCTTTCTTGGCTTATCCAATTCCATAGCTATCACACCGTGTTCATCTTTAGAGCCAAGAAATTCAACTATGCAGTGCCCTTGCTCTCAAGAAAAAATTGTGACAGGAACCTTTGTGAATTGTCTTTATTTCATTAGAATTTGTCACCCCAATTTAACTTTTTGCATGTGACCAGAAAATGTTTTGAATTGTTAAATGCTCAAGTTAATGTCAAATTTTCAAATGTGAAGTCAACATAAGCTTCGTACAGCTTGGTAACTTATGTTAATATTGTCTTAATAAGACAAAGAACTTAAAAGAGCAGTATGTTTATTTGAAGTAAAAGTATATTTTTAAAATAAAGAGGCCTAGGGGTGCAGGTCATCTGAATCATAGCACCCATGTGGATCACACTCCATGATTTCAAAATTCAGAGATGCTCCTGATCTATCAATCATTAACTGTTGACCTTTGAGCAGCTAAGAAGACTGTGTTATATAACAGTTGTCCCTGACTACTAAAATGATTAATTTGGGGGTGGAAGATGGGGACATTTTTTAAAATATTAAATCTACTAAATTCAGGTAAAATTACTTTGTAACATTTCCAGGTCTAATATCTCATAGGCCAACTAAATATATGCAAATTCATTTAATAATCAGAGAAAAGAAATGGAGTGTTACTAAACCAATGAAACACAAGCAGCTCTTTTGCTCATTTGCTGTGTGTCCAGAACTGTGGGAGACATGGGATCTTCAAGCATTTTACAGAAAAAGGGCTCATGGAACAGAGGGACAACCAGGGCTGGGGCAGTGCTGGCAGTAAGGACAGTGGTAACCTGCCCATCATGGCAATTTATATTTGTGTGTGTTTCATTCCTTTACAGGTGGGGAATGTCCTGAAGAGCAGGACTTATGTTCATTTACGTTTGAATCACCCTCACCTCTGCCCCACCTCAACTCTTCATTAGCTCTCAACACCGTGATTGGCATGAATAAATAGAGGAATAAGAGAGAAAAGGGATGACTGAAAGAGAGACTGAAAACTATGGCACTTCTATTTCTTCCTATAGAACAAATACTAGAAATAAGTCCTCAGGGATTAAAGTCTTATCTTACTTTTTTCCTCCAACGAGTGGCTGACTAATCAGTGATTTTTAAGTTCTTGGAAGTCACAATTCAATGGCTTCTGCATTGCTCAGCTTAGGTTCCTTTTCTCACCCATTCCCCCTCCCTTCTCATCTCCTTGTGCCTATGGAGTAACCAGGTCAATTCCTATGATGGAATGGGCTGATCCATTCAAACAACTGGTTGACATGGCTTATAAAAATAGCCAAGCTGGGCTTGTTGGCAAAGGCTAGACTTCAAGGAAGATGATAGTGGTCTGAGTCAGCAGCTTGTGAAATTCAAGCAGGCAGTTAGAGTGACAAAAAGGAAAAAGAATTGACGGTGACCAAAATGTCCCCAGATAACACATCACCCCACTGAGGAAAGAAGACAGAAGTAAACAAGTAGGTGGAAACATGTGCCAGTCAATTTTTAAAGAAAACAACTTCACCTGACATTATATTTAAAAAGATTATGTTGACCTGCACATGCTGAAACATAAAAATAACAATTAATGTAATGACTTTTAAATATGAGAAGTAGCATGGAGATAGAGCAGTATACATTGTCTAAAAAAAATTCTTACTATTCCCACAATCTGATTTTTCATTAATAAACTTCACAGGTCTTTGGGAAAGTCTGTGGTTAGATCAATGCATGGATTCAATTCTAAAGCTGGAAAGAAAGATTTTATTTTCTCTTGAGTTTCTGTCTAGCCAGCAGGTTTTAATTCCTGTGTAATAGTGGTTCGTTATCCTTCATCTGTTGAATAACCATTTTCTTGAAAGGCCAGAATATTGTAACTCCAAGAAATAAAAAGAGGTCAATTTTGTTGAATACTGTTTATTTAGATTTTTTGCATATTTTGCACATTTTCTCGAGTATGGGTAAGTAATCAAGTAATCCTACATACTGGTGGCTGCCTTGTGGATATCTCTTATTAGCATCGTGCCAAAAAGTGTGGAAGGCAAAAGGACAAAACTTAAAGCAAGACTTGAAAAAGTGGCCAGGGTATAAGTGGTGTATTCATTACCAAGCGTGGCCAAAATATGTTTGCCTATTTATACCAAAGTCTCTTCAGATTTACCAATTAGCTTCAATAATTTATTGATTGAGGGGTGATGTTAATGCTTTTTAAAAAGCACTTCTTAATATTTGTAGCCATTAAATACTTGTAGTCAATACCTGTAGAGTATGTCTGCAAGGAGACTTATTTCATCTGGGTAGGAAGAAGTAGGAGTGGGGAGAACTTGCCTCAATTTCTTTACTTGCTTCAATTTCTTTACTATCAGGAACAGATGACTAGTTTAGCAAGAACATCACTGGCTCAAGGCACCCCTTCTCCTAAGCAGCGCATGTCTCACAGAATATTTCAAGGTTCACAGAGCAGTTTCACCTACCTTAGCAGCAATCTGTGATGTTTCACAGAGGAGGAAAGGAAAGCACCCAGATCTGAAGTGCCTCTCCCAGGAGATCATGGAGCCAGCCAGAGGCTGACACTGCATTGAAGTCCAAGTCTCCTTCAGAACCTAAGCCCTCTCCACCGTACTTCTTGGCTGATCCCAAGCAGATAGCTCTCATTTCTCAACAAACGTAAATAAGGCAACGTGCAATCTTAGAATACAAATGAAGTATTTCTCCTAAGGCATCTATTATAGGCAACTTATTGAATAAACCTCTTAAGATCAAAAAAAGATTCTTAAAACTGCTAGTCGTTATTCACAAACACACAACAAAGCCTTCCAGATTTATAAATTTACATGGAGAAATAAAAGTCATCCCAGAATAACTTTAAAATTGTTCAAAATAATGTATATACATCTATATTTGAAAACATCCTCAAGGCTGTTTTTTGAAAAAGGACATAAATATATGTCAAATAAAATAAAATTTGAAAAGACAAGAGATTCTGTGAGGAAAAAGGTCGTTAGATCCTTTGGAATTAACTGGAAAAATGATGGCAGTTATATGGGGAATCGGAAGGACAAAATGATATCGAATTTCTCTTTATGGATCACAGGCTTTTACTAGTGTAGTGTTATAAATAATTGAAAATATTTTTGTCTTCTTCAGAGAAGAAAGCAAAGTAGTATCAGGTCCTTACCTAGAGGGGACACACACACATATACACGCACACACACAACACACTCCTACTCATAGATCCCACTGGGAATTTGGGAAACAGAACACCCCATTAGGTAATTCTCTTTAAAAGTCAATTCAGGGCTGGGCGCAGTGGCTCACGCCTGTAATCCAAGCACTTTGGGAGGCCGAGGCAGGCAGATTATGAGGTCAGGAGATCGAGACCATCCTGGCTAACATGGTGAAACACCGTCTCTACAAAAAATACAAAAAAAAAAAAAAAATTACCTGGGCGTGGTGGCAGGCGCCTGTAGTCCCAGCTACTTGGGAGGCTGAGGCAGGAGAATGACGTGAACCCGGGAGGCGGAGCTTGCAGTGAGCCGAGATTGCACCACTGCCCTCCAGCCTGGGTGACAGAGCAAGACTCCGTCTCAGAAAAAAAAAAAAAAAAAAAAAAAAAGCCAATTGAATGGGTGGGTGTATCTTAAAGCCTTTTCCCTCTAAAGATCCCTGTGATAGTGTTTGAAATCCCTCTAAAGAGCCCTGTGACAGCATTTTAAAAAAACCCTGCTACCTACAAAGTAGATGTTTGTTACATATTTCTTGGATAAATGATTGATACAGGATTGATTCAAGACAGGACATAAAAGATCCTGGAAGGCCAGGTGGATGACTATCACAACAGTCCAGCAAGAGGTAATGATGACTTATGTGGGGGCAGTGGAAAGAAGAGGGCAGAACCAGGACCACTGCACAGGTAGAATTGACCTCGTTATTGAATATTCAGCAGCTTCTCACAATCTAGAGAACTATTGAAGGCTCTCCATTCACTTCCTTTATCTACTTCTTGGCCCACACTCATTCTCCATGCAAACATTAGTTCTCTCCTAATCATCCAGGAAGTAAAACCTGAAATACCTAAATAATTAAAATCAATTATACTCCGATAACATTGGAAGCAGCTGCTATACTCTTCATAATATATTTTACAGATTAAACATTCATTTCACATAGTCAGGTTTGTATAGATGAGTTAATATTTTATAAAGACATTTGTCTTCAGGAAACAAAAAGAAATATCAGACTATCACCTACATGAATTCTGAAGGTACATGAATTTGCCCATTACATTTTGCTACTTTGAGACATTAGAAGACCTCTCAAGAAGTCCGAACCTTTCTGTTGAGACTTGTTCTTAGATGAGACAAATCTGATCTCTCAAAAAGATGAGGTTCTCCTAAAAACAGTGTGTCAGTTCTCTGTGAACTTGGGAAAAATTGTGAAACAGAGACCTTGATTCCCTATTCAGACCTCCCATATACAGAATTCATGAGTGTCAGCTAGGATCTGTCCCCAGATATTGCATGGGCTTCATCTCTTGATACTATGGACAACTTTTGGTAGAGGAGGTAGAGGATAAAAGAAAATAAGAGATCACCTGCAATCTTAGTGCAGACTGTAAGGAGTTCAGAGAAAGTGCCAGCCTTCAGGAAATGTCAGGACAAGTGTTAGCTCAATTCAGTAACCAAATTCAGTTCAATTCAATTCAACTCAGCTTGGATGTTTATCAATAAGTCTTAACAATAATTCTTACATTAAATTATTGTCATGAAATTTATGAAACTTCTGCTGTGTGCATTTGATTTGTTTTATTCAGCATTTCTTTTTTCATGCAGTCCTAAGTTGTAAGGTGGCTTTCTTCCATTCTCATAAGAGTTAGCACAAAGAACTCTCATCCTTGTTCCCTGTTATCTCTTATGCATGCTTACTAGCAGCTGGTGGGAGCTGCTAAGAAAAAATGCCATTCTAGAGATATAATTTGGAATCAAGCAGAAGTATCTGCTGCAGAACTAATCACATGTTTGGAGTAAAGGATTGAAGTGTGAAGAAAGCGAAAGACAGTCAAGGCTACATATGGATATTTTTAAAGTAAGGCTCATGTGCAGCAGCTGAAGAAGTATGTCAGTGTTCCTTGCACTCATGTGATGTGACACTTATATGGCTCACTTCAAAGTCAAAAATGACATTGTCAATACTCTGCTTTTTTTTTTTTTAGGAAGGGTCTCACCCTGTCACCCATGCTGAAGTGCAGTGGCATGATCATAGCTCACTGTGGCCTTGAACTCCTGGGCTCAAGCAATCCTCCTACCTCAACCTCCTGAGTAGCTAGGATTAGAGGTGCACACCACTGTGCCTGGCTAATGTTTTTGTTTTGTTTTGTTTTTTTGTAGAGGGATCTCACTTTGTTGCCCAGGCTGGTCTCAAACTCCTTGCTTCAAGCGATCCTCCCACCTCAGCCTCCCACAGTGCTGAGATTGCAGACATGAGCCACTATGCCTAGCCTATTCTGCTTTTATTTTGAGAATTTCAACTTTTTCCTCTCCCATATGTCTATATAAATGATCCATCACCATGGGGAGGGGAGGGAGGTGGAGGTGGAAATGAAGTCTCCACATGTGGAAAGCAAATATCTGGAATATGCCGGAGTGTAGTACCTGCATAGGTCATACTGGGTCAAAGATTACAAACAATTCCACTTAAGGGCACGAAGAGGAATTGGTGCCTTTGAGGTCAGCGTGCATTCCAAGTTCTAGAAATAGAGTTTCAACAAGTTCTGCCAGATGCCTTATCTTGGCAGCTTTCCTATTATTATTTCCCTTGACTGCCAAAGAGCAACTCCCCCACTGCCATGCACAGGTCAGTGACTGGTGCAATCAATGAATCAATCAAATAGGCAACAACTGGTTTTAAGAACTGGCTCCATACTGAAGGCTTCTGTGGGGATTGCATTCAGCCAAACCTCCCAAGGGCACATTGAGAAGGATTTGTACTAGAACATATTATTGTTCTCAGCTCCCAGTCATTTCTTTATGAAAATTACGTTGATTATTTTTGACAAGGGAGTGTGAATGTAGGGTATTCTGTGGGAACTCTCATCTCTGCACTCCTCAAGGCTGAGATGATTAAGATCCATATGTAACAAAGTTTTTCCACAATGTGAAGCAATGGAGTCAAGGATGGTGATATCCAGCCCCGTGCCACCACTTCCCCACTTGAATCCACGGTGGCTGCTATTCATCTATCGCGAAGTTACCGCCAAGCCCAGCACCACGTTTTCTCATTCCAACATTCCAGGAATTCTCTTCGCATTAGGATGTGAAACGAAACTTCCTTGCCCTGATTAGGGAGCTCTGGTTCAGGGCTGCCTAGGCTCTTGTCTTGTCAGAGCTGCCTGTGTCTTAGGATAATCAGAAGGATTATCCTAAGAAAGTTGTATTTAGGGCAGGATTCCTCAGCTGACCCCCGGCTTGCCCTGGAGAGCACACCAAGCCTTGAAGTGGTTCAGAAACTAACCAGCCTTCGGGAAATGTCAGGACAAGCAATGATGACTGTCCTGGTCCTTATCTTACTTTGTATTAATCATGAACCTGGATTTATTTCCAGAGAAGAAAAATGCCAACCTTACCTCTATTCAGATTTCACTGTCACATTTTAGACTGTTCTATAATAAGTCTGTAATTTTTGTTTTAGTGGAAAAGACAACTTTGTGATGAGTACTATTCTTCAGTAATTAAGTGAAAATTACTTTAGGAAGTTTCCTGTTCTCTAAAAGTAATCAGATTCATGGAAGCAGAAGTGATAAAAGAAGAAATCATGTGTATAAAGTAGTTCAGTGGAGGTAACAGCATTCATTCAACACATACTTCTTAAGTGCCAGGCATTATTCTAGCTGAAGGTCAACAGAGAAGAATAGCACATGAGTCCTGCTTTTTCTGAGGGTGACACATAACCACTAGCTACACCTGTGTGTAACTTCTGTGCAATATGGATGATAGCACAATATTACATAAACTGGATGCTATGAGGCCACAGTGAACGAAGAGCCTGACTCCAGGAGTTCAGAGGAACTTCTTAGTGGAGACAAAGCTGTTTAACATACATTATTGTCTCGTGTTACCCATTCTCAAACAACTCAGACACCCAACCTGTGCATAAAAAAACTGAAGACTTTTAAAGTTTGGGTTCTATAAAAGCTAATAGCTGAAAAGTATAGAGGAAAGTTACATAGAGTGTACTTCCTCATGGCACTCACTGTGATTCTGTTGTAATGTCACACTGAACCCTCTTGAAAACCTCCAGATTGAGTTTGTTTTTCAGTTTTGGTTTGTTCTTTTAGCATACGCTGTATTCTCCCTCAAGTATCATGTACTCAGATCATTATATGGCCTGGTCCAAATGTGAGGGTGCCACTGGTTTTTTTAAATGGTTGAAGCATTACTAGGAGCCTCTGGGGAATAAGTCAGAGAGCTGTCTTTGTTGGCCTTTATGCTTGGAATGGCTTGGCTTCTCATGATTGCAAGCTAATGAAACTATTCAGGATAAGCTTTGGCGCCAAATCGGGAACACTTCAGGATCCATTGAGATGATCTTTGCAGAGCTCACACTGGTGCAGCCAGAGGGAGGATCCTGATTTAGTAGTTTCTACTTCAGGTGAGGACACGAGACACAGGTCAAGCATCCAGTGTGGCAACGCAGTTAGTTTATGTGTGAAGTGAGTGCTGGCAGGTGCTCAGGCATGAAGCCCAGCTACTGAGGGAGGGATTCCACTGCTATGCAGCCCAGACTGCCCCCATGGCCAAGGGCAGCCAGCAGGTTATAATTTTGAGGCTTTTTACAATGGCAGATTTTTGAATCACTTATTTTTTTCTCTCTTAAAACAATGCATCAAGTTGAGGGGCTTTTTGCTCATTGCCACAGCCTTGAGAAACTCCTGTTGCCGATTAGTTTTATTTTGGGGCTTCTCTTTGCTCAGAGTTATCTAGCCCTGCAGGTGGATTTGATGAGCTTTACTCCAGGGTTGAAAGGAGACTAGTATTTGTGCCTTATCATTTGTTAAAGCCCACCTAATGTGGGAGCCGCTCAGTAGCCAATCAATATCCTGGGGAAAAAAAAGCCTTGTAATTGGAGTCTGAAGACCTAGATCTAAGCCCTAAGCTCTACGAAGTATTAGCTATGTCATTAAGGCAAGTGATTAAACCTCTCTGAAACTCAGTTTCCTCATATGTCGAAATGGTCCTTGGTTATATGAACAGAGAGATTGCCCCAAACTAGCAGCAGTTTTAAGAGAGATACCCATGAGTGGAGGGAGGAGGGATAGCATTAGGAGATATACCTAATGTAAATGATGAGTTAATGGGCGCAGCACACCAACATGGCACATGTATACATATGTAACAAACCTGCACAATGTGCATACGTACCCTGGAATGTAAAGTATAATAAAAATGAATAAATTAATAAAAATTTTAAAAAGAGAGATTTTCGCTATCTGGCTAATAATAAATGGGACATGAGCAGCAGCTTTAAGCCCTCATTGTCATTTTTGGAAGAGAAGTTGTCCAAACTTTAATAGCTTTTCCAACAGGTATACAACAGCTTATCTCCCTTAATTATTTAAGAAAATATTTTGCAACTAACTTTCCTGGAGGGGTTGGTAAAAATTACGCTATATGACATGATAAATCTCATAGGAGTGTCCTTGATTTATTTGGTCACCGTGCCAGACATTAAGCTAGATGCTGAGGACACTGGCACTGTCTTCAAAGACTTTACAGCCTTGAAAGGGAGAGAGGCAACTACATATAAAACTGCAATGAAGTATAATAAAACTGTGATAGACTCTTCCATAGGGTGCCAAGAGAGGCAAACAGATAATACATACCTCCTGTTGAATGTTCACGATCCCACCTCCGAAGTAGCTTTGCAAAAAATTGAACTTGAATTTCACAAGCCAGAAGAAGTGGCTCATGCCTATAATCCTAGCTACTCAGGAGGCTGAGGTGAGAGGGTCGCTTGAGGCCAGAAGTTCAAGACCACCCTGGGCAACATAGCAAGACTTCCTCTCCCTGGCCCCTCTCTAAAAGAATTTTAAAAGTCAGCTAGGCATGAATCCACTCCAGCCTGGGCAACAGAGTGAAATACTGCCTGTAAAGAAAAAATAAAGCAAGAACAAGTAACTGGGGCCTCACAAATTTGGATGAAGAGGAAAACAGCTGTGAGATTTAAATGTAAAAATAAGCCACAATCACACAGCTATATAGTTGAAGAAGGAGTATTTTAATAATCTTTGGAGAACTGTTGAGTATCCTTCTTCGACATTACAACAAAATTTAAGTGATTTTCTTAAAAATTAGTTGTAATATGGGATATGAAACCATACGAATGAATATTTTATACACTTTGAACTGCGTTGGCTATCTTTACTTTTTAAAATTTGTGTACACTTATGGATACTTTTTAAAATTTGTATACATTTATGAGTACAAGTATAATTTTGTTATATATTGCATAGTGATGAAGTCAAGGCATTTGGTGTACACATCACTGAAGTAATGTACATGGTACCCATTAAGTAATTTCTCATCATCCACCTCCTTCCCATGCCCCTCACCCTTTAGATCCTCCACTAACATTCCACTCTCTACTTCCAAGTACACACATTATTCAGCTCCCTCTTATAAGTTAGAATATGCAGTACTTGTCTTTCTGTGTCTGCGTTGCTTCACTTAAGAAAATGGCCTCTGGTTGCATCCACATTGCTGCAAAAGACATGATTTCATTCTCTTTTATGTTTATATACCACATTTTCTTTATCCAATAGTCTACTGGTGGACACTTAGGTTGATTCTATATCTTTGCTATTGTGAATAGTGCTGCAATAAATATACAAGTGCAGGTGCCTTTTTAATATAATGATTTATTTTCCTTTAGGTAGGTACCCAGTAGTAGGATCGTTAGATAGTATGGTTGTTCTATTTTTAGTTCCTTGAGAAATCTTCATACCATTTTCCATTGAGGTTGTACTAATTTACATTTCATCAACAGTGTATAAATGTTCCCATTTCTCTGCATCCTTGCATTGGGCTATCTTTAAAATAAAAACATGAAAGTACTAAAAAAACAAATAAATACTTTGATAAATTTAGGGAAGAACATTCCAAACATGACAATTAAAATGGAACCCTTTTAAATATGAGGAAACACTTTAAACAAGAGACAAATAAAATATCAGAAAAAAAATTGCAGCATATGTGGCAAAACAGTTGACATTCTCTGTACAATAAACCATTACAAATTAATGCAGAAGAAAATACACATTCAAATAGAAACACAGATAAAGGATATGACTGGGCAACTGACCAAAGAAAGAATTAAAATGGCAAATAAACATTGAAAATTTTTCAAATTGAATAATATTCTATGAAATACAAGTTGAAACTATGAGCTACCACTTTTTACTCAGAATAAACAACAGGTGAAAAGGAATGACAATAGTGTGACGGTGTGGATGTGGAAAAGTAAGAACTGTCATATACTCTTTTGGGGACTATATTAGTTTCCTATTGCCACTGTGACAATTTACCCACAACTTCATGACTTAAAGCAACACAAATTTATTCTCTTACAGTTCCGAAGTCAGAAGTCTAAAATGGATGAGCCAGGCTGTTTCTTCTGGAGGCTCCAGAGGAGAATCCATTTCCTTACCTTCTCCAGCATTTAGAGTCGGCTCTGATTCTTGGCTCCTGACCCCTCCTTTATCACTCCAACCTGTTTCCCTCTGACTCTGACCCTCCTGCCTCCCTTTTTTAAGAACCCTTGTGACTACACTGGGCCCACCCAGATAGTATGGGATAGTCTCCCCATCTCAAAATCCCTAACGTAATCATATTTTCAAAGTTCCTTTTATAACATAAGGTAACATATTCACAGGTTCTGGGGATTCAGATGTGGACATCTTTGGAGAAGGGGGTTTATTATTCAGCCTGTCATGGGAGTAAACTGGTATAAACTTTCTGGAGGAAAATTTGACAATATGTATCAACATCCTTATAAGGTACATATCTTTGATCCACTTATTCAACTTCAGGGAATTTATTCTATCAGTCAAACAAGTGCACAAAGAATAGGACTTGTCTGCAGCATTGTTTTAATAGAAAAAACTTGGAAATGTTCTAAATAAAAAGAAAAAAAATTTTTTTTTGAGCCAAGGTCTTGCTCTGTCACCCATGCTGGAGTGCAGTTACATGATCATGGCTTGCTGCAGCTTTGATCTCCTGAGTTCAAGCAATTCTCCTTGCCTCAGCCTCCAGAGTAGCTGAAACTGCAGGTGAGCACCATCATGTCCAGTTGTTTTAATTTTTTGTAGAGACGGGGTCTCACTATGTTGCTAGTGACTAGGCTGGTCTCGAACTCTTAGGCTCAAGTAATCTGCCCACCTTGGCCTCCCAAAGTGCTGGGATTACAGATGTGAGCCACTGTACTCAGCCCAAAGCAAAATTTTGGTTAAATATATTATACTTCATTAAAATAATAGAATATCATATAGCCATTACTAATGATTTTCCATATTTGTTGATATGGAAACTCTCCATTGTTAAATGAAAGTTCCAGGTAGCAAAAGAGTTTACGTAGTATGATTCCATTCTGATAAATATCAAAATTTAAATCTAAATATATATTAATTTAAATCTAATTAATTAATTTAAATCTAAATATCAGAATTTAAATCTAAATGTAGATTTGTGTAGATTTGTGCATATATATATATATATTGCATAATAAATAAGCAAGGCTATGCACAAAACTTCCAGTGCAAAATATTGCTGAGTGAAATATTGCTGAGTGACTTTTCCTTTCTCTTGTGGAAATTGTGAGAATTGACTAGGAATATGTGAGAAGATGAAGGTTTAGCCGAGTTCACAGGCCATGAATCTGCAGTGAAGAGCAAGCGAAAGCAAGATCCTGGAAGATACTGGCAAGTGGCCGGATCACAGAATCCAGGTTAGAAAGGGGGGAAAAAAAGGTCAAGAGAGGTCTGACAAATCAGGAGAAAATGAATGGAATAACGAAATGGAAGAATCTTTCTAAAGAACATAATCTCAAATTCCCTGCTGCTCACTTTTTGTAAAAATTAAGAAATATTCACCAAAAAAAAAAAAGTCAGGAGAATATGAAGCCACTCATTTTACTTCTAGAAGTTTTTCTTACAGAAAATCAATCAAGGAGAGAGAATTGTGTATTAATTTAATTGTTTGGCCTTTAGAATCATGTTCCTTAGAGGGCATCGGTGCGACGGCTTCACCATTCTGCACATCCACCTGAGTTTTAAAACACGGTTTCTACTAAACATCTGGTATCTTGTATACAGGGGATGAATGTGGTCTTGTTTCCTTCTTTAGCTGCTGGAAACCTTAGAGCAAAAAATAAGGCCACTTTTGTAACTGTGTCTGACTCAGCAGCATAACTTTTCCGTTGTCTTCCATGTGCTATCCTGTTTTTATTTTTCCTTTCCCTTGATTGCTCTCTATACATACATTTTTGAGAAGTTGTTTTTCTTTATTTTTCAAACTAATTCATTCAATACTCTCCTCCAGGTAGAGTTTATAATTGTTTGTAGTTGAGAAAATTGGACTAGAATGAAGCCTTGTGGAATCCAAGAAGAATTCGTTATTCTTTAGCTGCTTTCATCTCCAACTGTGTTAGGCATCCTCCTAAGATGGTCCCCAAGATGGCAGACCCCTGGAATCATCTGTACAATTTCCTCTCTTTTCACAGGTAAGGGATTTTATAAACATAATAAGATTTCTTTCCTGTAATTGGGTTACATTGAATAACAAAGGTGAAGGGATTACACAGATGTAATGAAGGTCCCTACTCACTTGGCTCTGAGTTAATCAAAAGGGAGATTATCCTAAGTGGGCCTGACCTAATCAGGTGAGCTCTTGATAAGAGGGTGCTGGCCTTCCCTGAGAGATTCAAAGCAGCACAAATGCTCTCCTGTTGGATTTGTAGAAACATAATGCTATGCTGTGAAAAGGGCCACTTAGGGCTGCAGTCCTCCAGCTATAAGAACTGAATTCTGCTGTTGGGGCTCAGAAAACAATATCCCAGAATGAAACCTCAAACGCAGCCTGGAAAGAAAAAGTTCTTCTCTGACCTCCTACCCTTCTGTCTCTCAGTCCCATTCTCCCCTGAGGCTATCCATAGAAACCAGAACTCCTTTTCCCCAAAGGCAGCCATAAACCTAAAAATGTTACTCTAACTTTCCCTCTGCCCTGTCTACGTAAAAACTGGCCATAAAGAAATTATCTGACTTACCTTGTTTAACTGTGGATGATAAGACCCCCATTCCAGAGAGGGTTCTGCCCTATACCCAGAAGGAAGGAATACTGCACAGAGAAGCCAAGAAGAATCTAGACAGACAGGCCTTACTGAGTTTCCCATTCAGTTTATTAGCATTTGATTGTACCTTTTTTGTCCAATCCCATTTCGACACGGCTGTCCATAATTTGCTGAACCTAGGCATAAAAATGGAAAATTGCCCCCATTCTGAAGGCTCCCGTGTTTACTTACATGTTAAATAAATTTGTATGCCTTTTCTTCTGTAAATAGGCTTTTATGAGTTGATTTTTCAGCGAACCTTCAAGGGGCTAAGGGGAACATTACCCTTGGCCACTATACTGCCAACAACCTATGAGCCTGGAAGAGGATCCCAAGTCTCAGATGAAACCAGGACCTCAGCCAACACCTTGATTTCAGCCTCATGAGATCCTAAGCAGAGGGTACAGTAAAGCCACATATGGTGCCTAACCAAAAAAACTATGAGATAATAAAGATGTGTTTTGGAAGCTGCTAAACTGGTGTTGATTTGTTACATAGCAATTAAAAACTAATATACAAACACTACGGTATTTGTTTTCTTCATTAATTAAACATAACGTATCCTCACTTCTGTATCCATCAGTAAGGCAAGGTTCTGTGATAAAGACCTGCCTGCATTGTACGTCTGTATGGTTCCTTTCCCTATCCCAAATCTTAGATGCATATTTTGATTGATGATGATTGTCCTTGATCTAAGAGATGATGTGATATCCTGCTACCCCATTCTTCAACCCCCTCAGACACTGGGATCATTGTAGAATGATTCATAACATTCCCTGGGACCCCAACACATGGTGTTCTAACGTTTCTCAGTCTACAATACAGTAGTCCCTAAATCACATGACAACTTTTCCTATTGTAGAAAAAGTGCACGCAGAGGCGATGTGGTGGCTGATCTGCGGCAGCAGATGAGGTCCTGTATTCTGCTCCTGCCCCACACTGACCAGATGCCCATTTAGACAAGGTTTCCCCTGCTTCCACTCATAGACACAGTTATCTCTCAGACTCAAGGTGGCCTCCAAGTCCTTAGCATCCACTTCTTGTAGAAGCAGTGCCTTCCCCTTTGCAGGCCAGTGACTTTTTTTAGATTCTCAAACACAAAGTGACTGATCATTCACCTTTTCCTTGGCCTGATTGACTATAGGAATACCAGAATGGTGGTGGAGAGGGGTAAGGAGTTGGTGTAATGTTTCACACCTCAAAGGTATTCACCAACACTAGGTCACAAGCTCTATCTCTCTCTCTTTCTCACACACACACACACACACACACACACACACACACATTCTCTGGAAGGTCATCTCATCACAGATTTACAGCCCTGTAATCACCCTTGAATGAACCTCTTCGGGAGGTGCTTGGGAAAGCAAGGAGAGAAGACAGCTTGCTCATTCTGTCACATGCATTATTGGATTTGGGCAATTATTTTAATCCCCATAGTAGAAACTTGCTCATATTTCCATATTGGTACAAACTCTTCAGTCTACTTAAGTGGATATCCAAGGAACTATTTAATTTCCAACTTAATAGTATCATGGGGAAAAAAGACAATAACAAAACAATTTTGAGTCAAATAAATGGTCTCATATGAATGGCATCTGCAATACCTTCAACAACTAGGCAGAAGATATATGATGCTATCATAGTTTTCTTTTAAAAAATCACCAAAGCAGTTTCATCTTTAACACCCTACCTAAGATTTCTAAATGATAGCCTATCAAATTATATCCCCATTAGGTATATAATAGCTCCTTTCTTACCTTAGATAAATATATTCTTGTTTCACAAGTTTTTTTAAAAGGCTTTGCTTGAAATTAAAATCTGACCAACAAACTAGAGCAGAGATAATTCCTCAGTGTCAATAGGCTTCCTTGGAAACTTACCCACATATAACCAATGCAGCTTCACTCGTGTATAGAATATACTGACAGAGAAAAAGAAAATACAGATGACATTACAATCATAAACACCCTATTTCCTGTTTTTAAAAAAACATGTCTTCAGAAGTGCTTTTTTTACAAAAATTTATTTTAAGTTCTGGGATACACGTGCAGAATGTGCAGATTTGTTCCATAGGTATACATGTGCCATGGTGGTTTGCTGCACCCATCAACCTGTCATCTAGGTTTTAAGCCACGCATAGATTAGGTGTTTGTCCTAATGCTCTCCCTCCCCTTTCCCCCAACCCCCGACAGGCCCCAGTGTGTGATGTTCTCCTCCCTGTGTTCATATGTTCTCATTGTTCAACTCCCACTTCTGAGTGAGAACATGTGGTGTTTGGTTTTCTGTTTCTGTGTTAGTTTGCTGAGAATGATGGCTTCCAGCTTCATCCATGTCCCTTCAAAGGACATGAACTCATCCTTTTTTATGGCTGCATAGTATTCCATGGTGTGCATGTGCCACATTTTCGTTATCCAATCTGTCATTGACGGGCATTTGGGTTGGTTCCAGGTCTTTGCTATTGTAAATAGTGCTGCAATAAAAATACATGCACATGTGTCTTTATAGTAGAGTAATTTATATTCCTTTGGGTATATACCAAGTAATGGGATTGCTGGGTCAAATGGTATTTCTGGTTCTATATCCTTGGGGAATCGCCACACTGTCTTCCACAATGGTTGAACTAATTTACACTCCCACCAACAGTGTAAAAGTGTTCCTATTTCTCCACAGCCTCGCTAGCAGCTGTTGTTTCCTGACTTTTTAATAATCACCATTCTAACTGGCATGAGATGGTATCTCATTGTGGTTTTGATTTGCATTTCTCTAATGACCAGTGATGATGAGCTTTTTTCATTTGTTTGTTGGCCACATAAATGTCTTCTTTTGAGAAGTGCCTGTTCATATCCTTCACCCAATTTTTGATGGGATTTCTCATTTGTTCTTTTTTTCCTGTAAATTTGTTTAAGTTCCTTGTAGATTCTGGATATTAGACCTTTATCAGTTGGGTAGACTGCAAAAATTTTCTCCCATTCTGTAGGTTGCCTGTTCACTTTAATGATAGTTTCTTTTGCTGTGCAGAAGCTCTTTAGTTTATTTAGATCCCATTTGTTAATTTTGGCTTTTGTCACAATTGCTTTTTGTGTTTTAGTCATGAAGTCTTTCCCCATGCCTATGTCCTAAATGGTATTGCCTAGGTTTTCTTCTAGGGTTTTTATGGTTTTGGGTTTTACAATTAATTCTTTAATCCATCCTGAGTTAATTTTTGTATAAGGTGTAAGGAAGGGGTCCAGGTTCAGTTTTCTGCATATGACTAGCCAGTTTTCCAAACACCATTTATTAAATAAGGAATACTTTCCCCATTGCTTGTTTTTGTCAGGTTCGCCGAAGATTGGATGGTTGTAGATGTGTGGTGTTATTTCTGAGGTCTCTGTTCTGTTCCATTGTTCTATATATCTGTGTTGGTACCAGTACCATGCTGTTTTGGCTACTGTAGCCTTGTAGTATAGCATGAGGTCAGGTAGCATGATGCCTCCAGCTTTGTTATTTTTGCTTAGGATTGTCTTGGCTAAACTGACTCTTTTTCGGCTCCATATGAAATTTAAAGTAGCTTTTTTCTAATTCTGCAAAGAAAGTCGATGGTAGCTTGATGGGAATAGCATTGAATCTATAAATTACTTTGAGCAGTATGGCCATTTTCATGATATTGATTCTTTCTATCCATGAATATGGAATTTTTTTCCATTTGTTTGTGTGCTCTCTTATTTCCTTGAGCAGTGATTTGTAGTTCTCCTTGAAAAGGTCACTCATGTCCCTTGTAAGTTGTATTCCTACATATTATATTCTCTTTGTAGCAATTTTGACGTGAGTTCACTCAAAATTTGGCTCTCTGCTTGTCTACTATTGGTGTATAGGAATGCTTGTCATTTTTGCACATTGATTTTTTATCCTGAGACTTTGCTAAAGTTGCTTATCAGCTTAAGGAGTTTTGGGGCTGAGACAATAGGGTTTTCTAAATATACTATCATGTCATCTGCAAAGAGAGACAATTTGACTTCCTGTCTTCCTGTTTGAATACGCTTTATTTCTTTCTCTTGCCTGATTGCCCTGGCCAGAACTTCCAATATTATGTTGAATAAGAGTGGTGAGAGAGGGCATCCTTGTCTTCTGCTGGTTTTCAAAGGGAATGCTTCCAGCTTTTGCCCATTCAGTATGATATAGGCTGTGGGTTTGTCATAAATAGCTCTTATTATTTTGAGATACGTTCCATCGATACTTAGTTTATTGAGAGTTTTTAGCATGAAGGGATGTTGAATTTCATCAAAGGCCTTTTCTGCATCTATGAGATAATCTTGTGGTTTTTGTCATTGGTTCTGTTTATGTGATGCATTATGTTTACTGATTAGCATATGTTGAACCAGCCTTGCATCTCAGGGATGAAGCCGACTTGATCGTGGTGGATAAGCTTTTTGATGTGCTGCTCGATTCAGTTTGCCAGTATTTTACTGAGGATTTTCACATCAATGTTCATCAGGGATATTGGCCTGAAATTTTCTTTTTTTGTTGCATCTCTGCCAGGTTTTGGTATCAGGATGACGCTGGCCTCATAAAATGAGTTAGGGAGGAATCTCTCTTTTTCTATTGTTTGGAATAGTTTCAGAAGGAATGGTACAAGCTCCTCTTAGTACCTCTGGTAGAATTTGGCTATGAATCCGTCTGGTACTGGGCTTTTTTGTTGTTGTTGGTGGTGGTGGTGGAGGTGGTAGGCTATTAATTACTGCCTCAATTTCAGAACTTGTTACTGATCTATTCAAAGATTCAACTTCTTCCTGATTTAGTCTTTGGAGGTTGTGTGTGTCCAGGAATTTATCTATTTCCTCTAGATTTTCTAGTTTATTTGCACATAGGTGTTTATAGTATTCTCTGATGGTAGTTTGTATTTCTGTGGCATCAGTGGTGATATCCCCTTTATCATTTTTTATTGTGTATATTTGATTCTTCTCTCTTTTCTTCTTTATTAGTCTAGCTAGCAGTCTAACTATTTTGTTAATCTTTTCAAATCCCCAGCTCCTGGATTCATTGATTTTTTAGAAGGGTTTTTGTGTCTCTATCTCCTTCAGTTCTGCTCTGATCTTAGTTATTTCTTGTACTCTGCTAGCTTTTGAATTTGTTTGCTCTTGCTTCTCTAGTTCTTTTAATTGTGATGTTACGGTGTCAATTTCAGTTCTTTCCAGCTTTCTGATGTGGGCATTTAGTGCTATATATTTCCCCCTTAACACTGGTTTAGCTGTGTCCCAGAGATTCTGGTACATTGTCTCTTTGTTCTCATTAGTTTCAGAAAACTTCTTTATTTCTGTCTTAATTTTGTTATTTACCCAGTAGTCATTCAGGAGCAAGTTGTTTCAATTTCCATGTAGTTGTGCAGTTTTGACTGAGTTTCTTAATCCTGAGTTCTAATTTGATTGCACTGTGGTCTGAGAGACTGTTATGATTTCCATTCTTTTGCATTTGCTAAGGAGTGTTTTACTTCCAATTATGTGGTCAATTTTATAAAGTGCTATGTGGCACTAAGAAAAATGTATATTGTGTTGATTTGGGGTGGAGAGTTCTGTAGATGTCTATTAGGTCCACTTGGTCCAGAGCTGAGTTTGAGTCCTGAATATCCTTGTTAATTTTTCTTCATTAATTAATTGATCTGTTCATTGATCTAATATTGACAGTGGGGTGTTAAAGTCCCCCATTACATTACAACTGTGTGGGAGTATAAGTCTCTTTGTAGGCCTCTAAGAACTTGTTTTATGAAACTAGGTGCTCCTGTATTGGGTGCATATATATTTAGGATAGTTAGCTCTTCTTGTTGCATTGATCCCTTTACCATTATATAATGCCCTGAAAGTGCTTTTTTTAAAAAAAAAAAAAAAAAAAAAAACAAACAAAAACCAGGTAAATAAGGACGTATACACATATAAACACTAAAGCATTAGCGCAAGACTTCTTAATGTGTGACCTTTAATTTATGTCTTTCTATCTAGCGGAATGAGCTCCAACCTTGATAGCTGAGGACTAAAGCAAGAACCAGGACAGAGGGAAAAAAAAGATTTTGTGTAGCACATAGAAGGTTGTGAGAGTTTCTCCCAATAGAAAAGAGTTCCTGCTGGAATTGGGATCTATCCTTTCAGAGTGATCAGTATTTTCTGAGTCTAGGATAAGAGCTGGAATTTTCCTGGAGGTAGATCTTCCTTTTGTTCTAGAAGGAACCACTCTGTGAGCCAGTTTAGTCATAGATCTATAAGGCTGTTTGTTGTCTGGGGGAAAGTCTCATGGAAAGCCCCAAACCAATAAAATGATATTAATGCAGATGTTTCAGAGTGACATGTTGAACACATTTTTTAGTGAAGTTCCTTGGCATGCAATTTTTGGCAGGACTAAGCCTTTGGGAAACCAGAACCACCATGAAGCTGCTTACACATTGGGCCCTCCTCCAGGACACCTGGCTAAGGGCAGAGAAATCAGCTAGTGCTCTGCTTACCAATCCATGAGTTGCTAGCCTTCCCAGAGAAAGGGCATCTTTTTATAATTTTTACATAAGCTAAGGTTTCTGAGAGACATTATACATACCGCTAGGCTATACAAGAAGAATCTGGGATCTGATCTGATCTTTACTGCTCACTAGACAAAGACTATGGAAAGAGAATAAACTGGGATTGGTTTAGAAGTACCTGAACTGTTTGATTTTGTTCAGTAGAGAGTTAACCCTGAATAACCCAGACTTAAGGAAATACATAGTCAACTGTTGAGAGTGTCTTATCTAAGCAGTGGGTGAGAGAGAAGGAGTGGGCAGACCATATGCTATAGTGGAGAGTGGGAGTTCCCCTAAATGAATGGATGTTCCTACTGCAGCGGATCATCCTGGAATAGGAAAGGAAACATATCTAGGACTGCGAAAGGAGGCTCTAGGTTTGTGAAAAACTGAACCCAGATTTCAGGTAAGGAGACACCAGCAAAGATCCATACAAGATGGCAGCAATTTGAAGATCAAGGAGAGAGAAGGTCACCATGGGATGAACCTGGGAATGGCACAAATAGTGGACTTAAAAATAGTCATAGATGCCGGGCGCGGTGGCTCACGCTTGTAATCCCAGCACTTTGGGAGGCCGAGGCGGGCGGATCACGAGGTCAGGAGATCGAGACCATCCTGGCTAACACGGTGAAACCCCTTCTCTACTAAAAAAAAAATACAAAAAAATTAGCCGGGCGTGATGGTGGGCGCCTGTAGTCCTAGCTACTCGGGAGGCTGAGGCAGGAGAATGGCGTGAACCCGGGAGGCGGAGCTTGCAGTGAGCCGAGATTGCGCCACTGCACTCCCGCCTGGGCCACAGAGCGAGACTCCATCTCAAAAAAAAAAAAAAAAAAAAAAAAAATAGTCATAGATATTTTTTGCCTACATTACAATCCATTCAGTAATCTCCAAGCCTTCAATGAAGTTTTCTTAAAAACCCCGACTTTCATAGCTATGTTTTGGAGAAAAAAAAAAGATGTCGGGAAACATATGTGCAGTGCCATTGTAAGGGAGAAGCCACTGCAACCTGAAGAAGCCAGCATCTGAGAGTGGAGAAGCAG
Organism: Homo sapiens; assembly: GCF_000001405.40. Taxonomy (NCBI): domain Eukaryota; kingdom Metazoa; phylum Chordata; class Mammalia; order Primates; family Hominidae; genus Homo; species Homo sapiens. The sequence continues at coordinate 46,979,326 of NC_000012.12, forward strand.
TTTGGACCCAGGTGACTGGCTAAAGTGGCAAATGCAGGGAAACATTTGCGGAATAGAAGAATTAATTGAGGACTCTCAGAAATACTCGGTGAGGGCCCACTCCAGTGGCTCACACCTGTAATCCCAGCACTTTAGGAGGCCAAGGTGGGTGAATTGCTTGAGCTCAGGGCAACACAGCAAAATCCTATCTCTACAAAAAATACAAAAATTAGGCACGATAGCTCACATCTGTAGTCTCAGCTACTTGGGAAGCTGAGGTGGGAGAATCACTCAAGCCTGGGAGATGGAGGTTGCAGTGAGCCAAGACTGTGCTACTATACTCCAGGTTGGGTGACAGAGCAAGATCCTGTGAGAAAGAAAAGGGAAGGGAAGGGAAGGGAAGGGAAGGGAAAGGAAGGGAGGGAGAGAGGGAGGGAGGAGGAAGGGAGGGAGGAAGGAAGGAAGGAAAGAAGGAAGGAAGGAAGGAACAAGGGAGGGAAGGAAGGAAGGAACAAGGAAGGGAGGGAGGAAGGAAGGAAGGAGAAAAGGAGATAATTGATATGTTTAAATATAAAAAAATACTTCGCAAGAGGAACCAGATAACCTGGACTAAAAACAATTGTTCAAGTAGGAACTTGAATTAAATTAATTGGTATTAAAGGAAATATTGATCCTGGAAGGAGGGCTAAGTCATGGGGACATGTGAGATACTGAGGAAGAATGAATGGCTAGAAGGGAAAGGAATGTGGTATTGCTGACTCTGAAGTACCACAGAAAATTTTCTCTTAGCCCTTAAAAGGAAAAGCTGAAAGTTCCAGTCTTATAAAGGGAAAAACACATTGCTAGTTGTAATCTCATTTTCATTTCCTCTCTGTTATGACTGAAATATTGATTAATTATAAATACTGATGCAGAAGAATCAATATTCAGATTTAATAATTAACTATTTAAAAGTTAAAGTATATTCTTCTAAAACACATGCAAAGACCAAAAAAATTCAGGTTTTGTACCCTTACCTTTTCCTTTTTCTTTCTTACTTTATTTTTTTATTTTTTATTTTTTTGAGGTAGGGTCTTGCTCTGTCACCCAGACTGGAGTGCAGTGGTGAGATCACACCCTACTTCAGTCTTGACCTCCTGAGCTGAAAGTGATCCTCCCACCTCAGCCTCCCAAGTAGTTGGGACCACAGGTGCACACCACCATGCCCAGCTAATTTATTTTTACTGTTGGAGAGATAAAGTCTTGCTATGTTGCTCAGGCTGGTCTCAAACTCCTGGACTCAAGCAATCTTACAGCCTCGGCTTCCCAAAGTGCTGGGAGTACAGGCATGAGCCACCACACCTGGCCTGTACTCTTTTCTTTATCACTCTTTTGGTATTGACTAGGTATCTACCCATTTTCCTGTCTTCCGGTCATCTCAACTCAGATGCCTACAAAAAGCCAAAACTGCCTACAGTTTTAAAAATAAAATTAAAATTCTACTTCAGAAAATGCTGCACTATTTTATTTTAAATAAAATTGCATGTTACTTCATGATGATTAGGTCTAACCCAATCAGCAAAAGTCTTCTTAAAATAATAAAATCTGAAGAAAACAAGATGTAAACGCAAGAATACTTATTAGAATTATTAATACGTAATTTTCCTGGAATGCTAATAATCTAAAGTAATCTAAGGAAATGTTTATTTCATCAACTTGTGACTTAATCTAATTACGTTGATTGAAACTGTTAAAACTGTGCCAATAAAAGAAATATTTGTAATGAAATCATGTATTTACTATTTCCATTGTAACTGAACAATGCACAGAAAATTTCCCTCTAAAACACCACTGCCAAGCACTATGGGAACCACTTGTGTCTATTTACCTACAACATCCACGATACAACATCCATCTACAACATCCATTTAACATAAATCATGGATTTCAGAAAAGCTAATGTTTTTAATAAATGAGAATTGATTGTTAAATAAGACAACAGTAAAGCCACCGAAAGGTATATGCAAATTAGTCCATTAAGAGTATTTATTGTTATTTTATGTGAGCACACAGAACTAGAGCTAAAGTTAAAGATGTGAGTAGGGCATATATCATTTCTTCTTCACAAAGCTGACACTCTATCCTGACATTAAACAAGTAAATGTAACAAGTTACACAAAAGTGTATGAGAAGCCCAGATGTGTATAGTATGGAAAGAGGCATCAGTGAAGTGTGGGACAACCTCAAGTGCCCTGATATATGTGTGACCGAAGTCCTTGAATGAGAAGGGAAGAAATATTTAAGGATATAATGTCAGATTTTTTCCAAATTTGCTGAAATTATAAAAACGCATATTCAAGACATTCAACAAATCATAAGCACAAGAAACATGAAGAAAACTACACCAAGGTATACTATAACCAAATTTTCAGAGAAACAATGATAAAACAATAAATGGAAAAACTTTAAAACAACCAGGAGGAATGGGGTGAGGCATTATATACAGAGATAAAGATGATAGCAAGTTGCTAGCCAGAAATGACTCACGTGAGCAGACAGTGGAGCAATATCTTTAAAGTTCTGGAGGGTAAAAGAAAAGCCCTGTCAACTAGGTATAATTTTATATCCAGTGAAGCTATCTTCCAAAAATGAAGGCAAATCACATTTTCATATATACAAAAGGTGGAATAATTTATCACCAAGATATCTGCACTATAAGAAACGTCAAAAGTTTTTCAGGTGAAGGAAAAATTATACCAGAAGTCTGGACCTATATGAAAGAATGAAGAGTCCTAGAAATAATAAATATTTGTATAATAACAATATTTTTTCTTATTAATTAAATTTATTTGAAAGATAAGTGATTGTATGAAGAAAATAATAACAATATATTGTTGGGGTTTATAAAATACAGAGAAATAAAAAGTGCAAAAACAACAGCAGAAAAAAAAGCAAGGGGAGAAATCGAAGTACACAGTTGTATTGTTCTTATACTTTACATGACGTGGTATAACATCACTTTCAGGTAGACTGTGATAAGTTAGAGTTGTGTATCATAAAGCCTAAGGCAACTACTAAAAACACAATAAGGATATGTAGGTAATGAGCTAACAAATTAGATAAAATGCAACCATTAATTTGAAAATTAATTCAAAATAAGACAGAAAAAAAGAGAGAAAAGAGAAAAAAGAGCACATGGTACAAATAATAAAAGCAAGATGGCAGATTTACACACAACCACATCAACTACCACATCAAATTTAAACGGTATAAACATCCCAATTAAAAGGCAGGGATACTTTTTCCTATACGGCAAATTAGACGCTTTTAGCCTGCCTCAGGCATAAAGATTAACTCTGTGACCTTTAATTCAAGAAGGAAAATGAGAATCCACCAGAATTGTAAAGGAAACTCCAGATCCTGGGAAGGCAAATGTGGGCAAACAGCCCCTGTGATGGCATCTGGCTAATAAGTGAGTGAAGCCCCACCACACAAAAGAGGCAGACAGCCTCCCTCTGTGACTCACCTTTCCAATGGGGATTTGAGTAACCAAGGCCAAAGGAGAGCACTTTGTTTCTCCCAAGCCCTGGAGCTAACTTGGGATGAAGATGGAGATGTTGTGAGGGAAAGACACTGGGAAAACCTGAAGCCATTTTATCAGACCTGGGAACAAGAGCAGGACGCCATGTTTTATCCTGGTGCATACAATGTCAGCCATTATTTGGCAATCCGGCAGGATGGCCTCACAGGTATTTTGGTCTCAGGCCAGAGATTGGAGTGCCTGCTCTGAAGTGGGGTAGGGGCCTCCACAGCCAGAACTGTGAAAATCACCTCAGCAGAAGGCATTAGAACTGTACTCTCCACTGTGGCAGGCCTGGGGCAGGAGAGCTGCTACAGCTGCAGTTTCTCCTGGACAATAAGACTTGCAGCTACAGCCAGCTTGGTAACATGGAACCAGTCTCCATGTGCTATTGTTGGGTGCCCCAGCCTGCTCTTCTGAGATTACAGTACAGTGGAGTCCTCTCTGATCCACACCCAGGCAAATCTCCAGGTATTCAGACCACCCTCTCACCTGGATCAGCCACCTGAACCCCTCCAGCCTTCCTGTGCATAGATTGTGCTGCAGTGAAGCCCTCTCCACTCCACGTGTAGGCAGATCTCCAGATATGTGGAGCAACTGCTTGCATGGACTAGCAGTCTCAGTCACCCCACCCTTCCTGTGCAGGGATCCTGTGTGGGTTATGGGGGAATGGGAGGAGGGGGAGTTCTACTTCACACCCAGGCAGATCTCCTGGCATTTGGAGCACTCACTCACCTGGAACAGCAGCTTCACTCCCTGCATTCTTCCTGTGCATAGACCATAGTGCAACTGGGCCATCTCGACTCTACACCCAGGCAGACCTTCAGGCATCCAAAGCACCTGCTTGCCTAGACTGGCAGGCTGAGCCACTCCACCCTTCCTGTGCAATTATCTGGGTGCATAGGGGCCCTCTTTGTTTCAAGCCCAGGCAGATCTCTAGGCTTCAGGAGCACCCAATCTTCTGGATTAGGACTTTAGCCCACCCCATCCCCATGCAGAGAACTTGGGGCCAAGGAGATTTCTCAGCTTCCTGCCTAAACACACTTCTGGGCACTTGGTGGCTGCCCACTGGATTCCCCATTGGCACTGGTACTTGTCCCTGCCATCAAGGGACTTGTAAATGGACCTGCCAGGTCCAGCCTTACACATCTTGCCCCCCACCCCACAGCGTTAAGGGAACTTGGACCACTGTTCACTCTAAGAATCAGCCTACTGCCTAAGGCAACAGAGAGCTTCTCTGTAAACAAAGATCAGGTATATAACCAGATCATTGGCCATAGGCAGCGCTTACAAAAAGCACCATCTACTGGCTTGTGGGTTGAACTGCACAGCCCAATATAAAATCTGCCAACAGAAGTGCCTAGGGATATAAAAGCAAAGTCAAAAGACCCTACCCAGCACTCTCTGCAGTCACACCCCAGGGAGTAAGGGAAAGGGAAAGAAGAAAGAAACAGTAATATCACAGGAGAAGAAGGAAAGAGAAAAAATCCTACCTGGAGGAAAATAGTTACAAAAATTATAACTACAGCATCTCCAGATGAGAAGGAACCAGTGCAAGAATTCTAGCACAACGAAAAATCTGAATGTAATAACACCACTAAAGGATCACACTAACGGCTCCAGCAATTGTCCGTAATGAATATGGAAACTAAGAAATGACAGAGGAAGAATTCAAAGCATGAATTGCAAAGAAGCTGAAGGAGATCTGAGCTAAGGTTGAAAATCAACACAAAGTAACTCCTAAAGCAATTCGGGAAATGCAGGAAGAGATAAACATCTTCAAAAGAAATCAATCATAACTTCTGGAATTTAAAAACTCACTTAAGGAATTTCAAAATACAATTGAACGATTTCTCAATGGACTGAACCAAGCAGAAGAATTTCAGAGCTTAAAGGCTAGTCTTTTGAACTAACTCAGTCAGACAAAAATAAAGAAAAATAATTTTTGAAAATGAAGAGTCTTTGAAAAATATGAGATAATTTAAAGTAACTAAACCTATAAATTATCACCATTCCTGAAAAAAACGGAGGAAAAGAAAACAACCTGGAAAATATATTTGAGGGAATAATTCAATATTGTTTTCCTAGTCTTGCTAGAGAAGCAAATATCCAGATATAAGAAATCTACAGAACACTTGTGAGATACTATGCAAAATGAACATCACCAAGGTGTATTGTAACCAGAATGTCCAAGGTCAACACCAAAGAAAAAATCTTAAAGGCAGCTAGAGAAAGAGGTCAGATCACATACAAAGGGACTAACAGCGGATGTCTCAACAGAAACCTCATAAGCCAGGGGTGATTCGCTGCCTATTTTTATCATTCTTAAAGAAAAGAAATTTCGGCCGGGCGCGGTGGCTCACGCTTGTAATCCCAGCACTTTGGGAGGCCGAGGCGGGCGGATCACGAGGTCAGGAGATACAGACCACGGTGAAACCCTGTCTCTACTGAAAATACAAAAAATTAGCCGGGCGTGGTGGCGGGCGCCTGTAGTCCCAGCTACTCGGAGAGGCTGAGGCAGGAGAATGGCGTGAACCCGGGAGGCGGAGCTTGCAGTGAGCCGAGATCGTGCCACTGCACTCCAGCCTGGGCGACAGAGACTCTGTCTCAAAAAAAAAAAAAAAAGAAAAGAAAAGAAATTTCAACCAAAAATAAATTTCATATCCTGCCAAATCAAGCTTCATAAGTGAACAAGAAATAAAATATTTTCCAAAGAAGCAAGAGCTAAGGAAATTTATTGACACTAGATCACCTTTACAAGAGATCCTTAAAAGAGTTCTAAACATGGAAACAAAAGAGCAATATCTGCTACCACAGAAGCACACTTAAGTATATAGCCTACAAACCCTTAAAAAACCCATGCAATAAAAACTACCAAGGAACCAGCTAACAACTTCATGATAGGATCAAAACTGCACATCTCAATATTAACCTTGACTGTAAATGGTCTAAATGCCCTCACTTAAAAGGCACAGAGTGGCAATTTGAAAAAAAAAATACATCTACTGTCTTCAAGAGATCCATCTCACATTTAATAACATTCATAGGCTCAAAGTAAAGTGTTGGAGAAAGAGCTACTGTGCAAATAGAACACAAAAAACAGTAAGACCAATCCTAGATAAAACAGACTTTAAATCAACAACAGTAAAAAAGAACAAAGAAGGGCATTACATAATGATAAGGGCTTCAATTCAACAAGATGGCTCATGTATCCTAAACACATATACACCCAACACTGGAGCACTCAAATTCATAAAACAAGTACTTTTAGATCTATGAAAAGACAGACAGCCATAAAACAATAGTAGAGGACTTCAACACACCATTGCCAGCATTAGACAGATCATTAAGGCAGAAAACTAACAGAAATTCTGCAGTTCAATTGACCAACTGGACCTAAGAGACACTGACAGAATATTTCACCCATCAACCACAGAATATCCACTCTTTTTGTCTGCACACAGAACATACTGCAGGATCATCCACATCCTCAGTCATAAAGCAAGTGTCAATAAATTTTTTTAAAATTGAAATCATACCCATCATATTCATGAACCACAGTGGAATGAAAATCGAAATCAATACCATGAAGCTCCCTTGAAGCCATACAATTACATGGAAATTAAACAACTTGCTCCTGAAAAAATTTTAGGTAAACAAAAAAATTAAGGCAGAAATAAAAAACATTCTTTGAAATGAATTAAAACAGAGACAAAACATACCATAATCTCTGGGATACACCAAAAGCAGTGTTAAGAGGAAAGTTTATAGCACTAAATGCCTACCTCAAAAAGTTAGAACAATCTGAAATTAACAGTCTAACATCTCACTTAGAGGAACTAGAAAAACAAGAACAAACTAACTCCAAAGCAAGTAGAAGAAAATAAATAACTAAAAATAGATCAGAACTGCATAAAACTGAGACACAAAAGCCCCCAAAAAATCAACAAAACCAAAAGATGTTTCTTTGAAAGAATAAACAAAATCAACCTAAAGCTATTTAGATTAACAAAGAAAACAAAAGGTGATCCAAGCACAATTAGAAATGACAAAGGTGACATTACAACTGATCGCACAGAAATAAAAAGATTTCCAGAGACTATTATGAACACATCTTTGCACACATTTTACTGTAGAAAATTTATGTTTCTATAGTATTGGAAATTCTGGCCAGGGAAATCAGGCAAGATAAACATATAAAGGGTATTCAAATAGGAAGAGAGGAAGTGAAATTGTCACTGTTTGCAGATGACATGATTGTATATTTAGAAAACGCCATTGTCTCAGCCCAAAAACTCCTTAAGCTGATGAGCAACATCAGCAAAGTCTCAGGATACAAAATCAATGTGCAAAAATCACAAGCACTTCTATACACGAATAATAAACAGAGAGCCAAATCATGAGTGAACTCCCATTCACAATTGATACAAAGAGAATAAAATACCTATGGGACAGAACAGAGGCCTCAGAAATAACGCCACACATCTACAACCATCTGATCTTTGACAAACCTGACAAAAACAAGCAATGCGGAAAGGATTCCCCATTTAATAAATGGAGCTAGGAAAGCTGGCTACCATATGCAGAAAACTGAAACTGGACCCCTTCCTTACACCTTATACAAAAATTAGCTCAAGATAGATGAAAGACTTAAACATAAGACCAAAAACCATAACCCTAGAAGAAAACCCAGACAATAACATTCAGGACATAGGCATGAGCAAAGACTTCATGAAAAAATGCCAAAAGCAATTGCAACAAAAGCCACAATTGACAAAAGGGATCTAATTAAACTAAAGAGCTTCTGCACAGCAAAAGAAACTATCATTAGAGTGAACAGGCAACCTACAGAATGGGAGAAAATTTTTGCAATCTATCCATCTGGCAAAAGTTTAACATCCAGATTCTACAAGGAACTTAAACAAATTTACAAGAAAAAAACAAACGACCCCATCAAAAAGTGGGCAAAGGATATGAACAGACATTTCTCAAAAAAAGACATTTATGCGTCCAACAAACAAATGAAAAAAGTTCATCATCACTGGTCATTAGAGAAATGCAAATCAAAACCACAATGAGATACCATCTTATGCCAGTTAGAAAGGCAATCATTAAAAAGTCAGGAATCAAAAGATGCTAGTGAGGCTGTGGAGAAATAGGAAGGATTTTACACTGCTGGTGGGAGTGTGAATCAGTTCAACCATTGTGGAAGACAGTGTGGCAATTCCCTAAGGATCTAGAACCAGAAATACCATTTGACCCAGCAATCCCATTATTGTTTATATACCCAAAGGATTACAAATCATTCTACTATAAAGACACATGCACACATACGTTTATTGTAGCACTATTCACAATAGCAAAGACTTGGAACCAACCCAAATGCCCATCAATGATAGACAGGAAAAAGAAAATGTGGCACATACACACCATGGAATACTATGCAGCCATAAAAAAGGAAGAGTTCATGTCCTTTGCAGGGACATGGATGAAGCTGGAAACCATCATTCTCAGCAAACTAACACAGAAACAGAAAACCAAACACCACATGTTCTCACTCAAAAGTGGGAGTTGAACAATGAGAACACATGGACAGAGGGAGGGGAACATCACACACCAGGGCCTGTCATGGGGTAGGGGGGACAAGGGAAGGGATAACATTAGGACAAATACCTAATGCATGTATGGCTTAAAACCTAGATGACGGGTTAATGGGTGCAGCAAACCACCATGACACATGTATACCTATGGAACAAACCTGTGCATTCTGCACATGTATCCCAGAACTTAAAGTATAATAAAAATAAATAAATAATCCATTTTATAACTTCTAGAAATAAATCATAACTCATATAGCATGTGAGAATACAGTATCAAAATATCACATGTATCCCATAAATATGTACAATTATTATGTATCAGTAAAAAAGAACCCCTTCTAGTTTAGAAGATATCCCTGTGTCTTATCATTTAGGGTCGCATATACTTTCTTTTTTATAACATTCATTCATCTTAATTTTTTGGTTGTTATATATTTCTTAAAGAGTGTTCCATTAGCCCAGAAACTATTGTTTATTCACTATTGTATTTTTCATGCCAAATAAGTCAAAATAAAGATTCAATAAGCATGAAAAAAAAGAAAATTTATGTTTCTAGGATAAATTCCTAGAAACACATAATCTCCCAAGATTGATTTAGAAAGAAATTGAAACCCTGAACAAACCAATATTAAGTCCTAAACTTGAATCAGTTATTTTAAAAAAAAAAAAACCTACCAACCAATAAAAACCTCCAGACCAGATGGATTCACAGCTGAATTTTACCAGACATACAAAAAAGAACTGGTACCAATACTACTATAACTGTTCAAATAAATCAAGGAGAAGGGACTCCTCCCTAACTCACTCAATGAAGCCAGCATCACCCTGATACCAAAACCTGGTAAAGAAACAATGAGAAAAGAAAACTACAAGCCAATATTCCTGATAAACATAAACACAAAAATCCTCAACAAAATACTAGCAAACCAAATTCAACAGCACATCAAAAAGTTAATCACAATGATCAAGTAGGCTTCATTCCTGCGAGGCTAGGTTGGTTTGATATGAGCAAATCAATGTGATTCCCCACATAACCAGAATTTTTTGAAAAAGGTATAATCATCCAATAGACATGGGAAAAGCTTTTGATACAATCCAACATCCCTTCATATTCAAAAACCCTCAAGACTAGGCATTGAAGGAACATGCCCCAAAATAATAAGAGCCATCTATGACAAACCCACAGCCTACATACTGAGTGGGCAAAAGCTGGAAGCATTCCCTTGAGAATTGGAACAAGGCAAGGATGTCTACTCTTACCACTCCTGTTTAACATAGTAGTAGAAGGCCTTGCCAGAGCAATCAGGAAAGATAAAAAAACAAAAAAGGGCATTCAAATAGGAAAATACATCAACGTATCTCTTTTTGCTGATGATATGATTCTATACCTAGAAAATCCTAAAGACTCCACCCAAAGGCTCCTGGAACTAATAAGGGACTTCAGTAAAGTTTCAGGATACAAAATCATGTATAAAAATCAGTAGCATTTCTGTACACCAATAATGTTTCAGCTGAGAGCCAAATGAAGAATGCAATCACATTTACAATAGCATCAAAAAACTAAACTACAAAAGAAAAATAAAATATTTGTGTCATTTTATTACCTAGAAATACACCAAACCATCAAACCAAGAAGGTAAAAATCTCTACAAAGAGAATGACCAAGCACTACCAAAAGAGATCATAGATGACACAAACAAATGGAAAAGCATCCCATGTTCATGGATAGGAAGAATCAATACTGTTAAAATGGTCATACCCCCCAAAGCAATCTACAGATTCAACATTATTCCTATCAAGCTATCAATGTCATTTTTCACAGAACTAGAAAAGATTCTTCTAAAATTCATATGAAACCAAAAAAAAAAGCCCAAAGCCTAAACTAAAAGAACAAAGACAGAGGCATCACATTACCCAGCTTCAAACTATACAAGGCCACAGTAACCACAATATTCTGGCACTGGCACAAGAACAGACAAATAGACCACTGGAATAGAATATAGAACTCGGAAATAAAGCTGCACACCTATAGCCATCTGATCTTCAACAAAGTTGACAAAAACAAGCAATGAGGAAAGGACTCCCTAGTTGATAAATGGTGCTGGGATAGCTGGTGAGCCATATGCTGAAGAATGAAACTGAACCCCTATCTTTCACCATATACAGAAATTAACTCAAGATGGATTAAAGATTTAAATGTAAGACTCCAATCTTTAAGAATCCTAGGGGAAAATCTAGGAAACACTATTATGGACATTGGCCTTGGGAAAGAATTTATGACCAAGTCCTCAAAAGCAATTGCAACAAAAACAAAAATTTACAAGTGGGGCCTAATTAAACTAAAAAGCTTCTGCACAGCAAAGGAAACTATCAATAGAGGTAACAGACAGCCTACAGAATGGGAGAAAGTACTCACAAACTATGCATCCCACAAAAGTCTAACATCTAGAACCTACATGGAATTAAAACAATTAAGCAAGCTAGAAACAAATAATTCCACTAAAAAAAAGGCAAAAAAAAAAGACACGAACAGATACTTCTGAAATGAAGACATGCAAGTAACCAAAAACATATGAAAACAATGCTCCACATCACTAATCATCAGAGAAATGCAAACCATGAGATACCATCTCACACCAGTCAGAATGGTTATTATTTAGAAAATCAAAAGGCAACAGATGCTGGTAAGGCTGGGGAGAAAAGAGAGGGCTTATATATTGTTGGGGGACTGTAAACTAGTTCAGCCACTGTGGAAAGTAGTTTGGAGATTTCTCAAAGAACTTAAAGTAGAATTACCCTGACCCAGCAATCCTATTACTGGATATATACCCAAAAGAAAACAAATTATTCTACCACAAAGACACATGCATTTTATGTTCATCACAGCACTATTTGCAATAGCAAAGACATGAAATCAACCTAGGTGCTCATCGACAGTGGCTTGCATATAGAAAATATGGTACATATACATCATGGAATACTATGCAGCCACAAAAAATAATGAAATCATGTCCTTTGCAACAACATAGATGCAGCTGGAGGCCATTATCTTAAGCAAATTAATGCAATAACAGAAAACCAAATACCCATGTTCTCAGATATAAGTGAGAGTTGAACATTTGATACTCTTGGACATAAAAATGGCAACAATAGACACTGCAAACTAATGAAAGGGGGAGGGTGGCAGGTTTGAAAAACTATCAGGTAGTATGCTTTGTACTGAGTGATGGGATTAATAATACCCCAAACCTCAGCATCACGGAATACACCCATGTAATAAAACTACACATGTACTCCCAAATCTAAAATAAAATTTGAAAAATAAAATAAAAAATTAAAAATGAGAGGTGGAGCCAAGATGGCCGAATAGGAACAGCTCCAGTCTACAGCTCCCAGCGTGAGCGACACAGAAGATGGGTGATTTCTGCATTTCCATCTGAGGTACCAGGTTCATCTCACTAGGGAGTGCCAGACAGTGGGTGCAGGACAGTGGGTGCAGCGCACCGTGCATGAGCTGAAACAGAGTGAGGCAATGCCTCACTCGGGAAGTGCAAGGGGTCAGGGAGTTCCCTTTCCTAGTCAAAGAAAGGGGTGACAAGACGGCACCTGGAAAATCAGGTCACTCCCACCCTAATACTGTGCTTTTCCAATAGGCTTAACAAATGGCACACCAGGAGATTATATCCCGCACCTGGCTCAGAGGGTCCTACGCCCACAGAGTCTCCCTGATTGCTAGCACAGCAGTCTGAGATCAAACTGCAAGGCAGCAGCGAGGCTGGGGGAGGGGCACCTGCCATTGCCCAGGCGTGCTTAGGTAAACAAAGCCGGGGGGAAGCTCAAACTGGGTGGAGCCCAGCACAGCTCAAGGAGGCCTGCCTGCCTCTGTAGGCTCCACCTCTGGGGGCAGGGCACAGACAAACAAAAAGACAGCAGTAACCTCTACAGACTTAAATGTCTCTGTCTGACAGCTCTGAGGAGAGTAGTGGTTCTCCCAGCACGAAGCTGGAGATCTGAGAACGGGCAGACTGCCTCCTGAAGTGGGTCCCTGACCCCCGAGCTGCCTAACTGGGAGGCACCCCCCAGTAGGGGCAGACTGACACCTCACACGGCCAGGTACCCCTCTGAGACAAAACTTCCTGATAGCAGCATTTGCGGTTCATGAAAATCTGCTGTTCTACAGCCATCGCTGTTTTGCAGCCACTGCTGCTGATACCCAGGCAAATAGGGTCTGGAGTGGACCTCTAGCAAACTCCAACAGACCTGCAGCTGAGGGTCCTGACTGTTAGAAGGAAAACTAACAAACAGAAAGGACATCTACACCAAAAACCCATCTGTACATCACCATCATCAGAGACAAAAACTAGATAAAACCACAAAGATGGGGAAAAAACAGAGCAGAAAAACTGGAAACTCCAAAAATCAGAGCACCTCTCCTACTCCAAAGGAATGCAGTTCCTCACCAGCAATGGAACAAAGCTGGATGGAGAGTGACTTTGATTAGTTGAGAGAAGAAGGCTTCAGACGATCAAACTACTCCAAGCTACAGGAGGAAATTCAAACCAATGGCAAAAAAGTTAAAAACTTTGAAAAAAAATTAGACAAATGAATAACTAGAATAACCAATGCAGAGAAGTGCTTAAAGGAGCTGATGGAGCTGAAAGCCAAGGCTCGAGAACTACGTGAAGAATGCAGAGGCCTCAGGAGCCGATGCGATCAACTGGAAGAAAGGGTATCAGTGATGGAAGATGAAATGAATGAAATGAAGCGAGAAGGGAAGTTTAGAGAAAAAAGAATAAAAAGAAATGAACAAAGTCTCCAAGAAATATGGGGCTATGTGAAAAGACCAAATCTACGTCTGATTGGTGTACCTGAAAGTGATGGGGAGAATGGAACCAAGGTGGAAAACACTCTGCAGGATATTATCCAGGAGAACTTCCCCAATCTAGCAAGGCAGGCCAACATTCAGATTCAGGAAATACAGAGAACGCCACAAAGATACTCCTCAAGAAGAGCAACTCCAAGACACATAATTGTCAGATTCACCAAAGTTGAAATGAAGGAAAAAATGTTAAGGGCAGCCAGAGAGAAAGGTTGTGTTACCCACAAATGGAAGCCCATCAGACTAACAGCTGATCTCTCGGCAGAAACTCTACAAGCCAGAAGAGAGTGGAGGCCAATATTCAACATTCTTAAAGAAAAGAATTTTCAATCCAGAATTTCATATCCACCCAAACTAAGCTTCATAAATGAAGGAGAAATAAAATACTTTACAGACAAGCAAATGCTGAGAGATTTTGTCAACACCAGGCCTGCCCTAAAAGAGCTCCTGAAGGAAGCACTAAACATGGAAAGGAACAACCAGTACCAGCCACTGCAAAAACATGTCAAATTGTAAAGGCCATCAAGGCTAGGAAGAAACTGCATCAACTAACGAGCAAAATAGCCAGCTAACATCATAATGACAGGATCAAATTCACACATAACAATATTAACTTTAAATGTAAATGGGCTAAATGCTCCAACTAAAAGACATAGACTGGGGAATTGGATAAAGAGTCAAGACCCATCAGTGTGTTGTATTCAGGAAACCCATCTCACATGCAGAGACACACATGGGCTCAAAATACAGGGATGGAGGAAGATCTACCAAGCAAATGGAAAACAAAAAAAGGCAGGGGTTGCAATCCTAGTTTCTGATAAAACAGACTTTAAACTAACAAAGATCAAAAGAGACAAAGAGGCCATTACATAATGGTAAAGGGATCAATTCAACAAGAAGGGCTAACTATCCTAAATATATATGCACCCAAAACAGGAGCACCCAGATTCATAAAGCAAGTCCTGAGTGACCTACAAAGAGACTTAGACTCCCACACAATAATAATGGTAGACTTTAACACCCCACTGTCAACATTAGACAGATCAACGAGACAGAAAGTTAACAAGGATACCCAGGAATTGAACTCAGCTCTGCACCAAGCAGACCTAATAGACATCTACAGAACTCTCCATCCCAAATCAATAGAATATACATTTTTTTCAGCACCACACCACACCTATTCCAAAATTGACCACATAGTTGGAATTAAAGCACTCCTCAGCAAATGTAAAAGAACAGAAATTATAACAAACTGTCTCTCAGACCACAGTGCAATCAAACTAGAACTCAGGATTAAGAAACTCACTCAAAACCACGCAACTACATGGAAACTGAACAACCTGCTCCTGAATGACTACTGGGTACATAATGAAATGAAGGCAGAAATAAAGATGTTCTTTGAAACCAACGAGAACAAAGACACAACATACCAGAATATCTGGGACACGTTCAAAGCAGTGTGTAGAGGGAAATTTATAGCACTAAATGCCCACAAGAGACAGCAGGAAAGATCCAAAATTGACACCCTAACATCACAATTAAAAGAACTAGAAAAGCAAGAGCAAACACATTCAAAAGCTAGCAGAAGGCAAGAAATAACTAAAATCAGAGCAGAACTGAAGGAAATAGAGACACAAAAAACCGTTCAAAAAATTAATGAATCCAGGAGCTGGTTTCTTGAAAAGATCAACAAAATTGATAGACCGCTAGCAAGACTAATAAAGAAGAAAAGAGAAAAGAATCAAATAGACGCAATAAAAAATGATAAAGCAGATATCACACCAATCCCACAGAAATACAAACTACCGTCAGAGAATACTACAAACACCTCTATGCAAATAAACTAGAAAATCTAGAAGAAATGGATAAATTCCTCGACACATACACCCTCCCAAGACTAAACCAGGAAGAAGTTGAATCTCTGAATAGACCAATAACAGGCTCTGAAATTGAAGCAATAATCAATAGTTTACCAACCAAAAAGAGTCCAGGACCAGACGGATTCACAGCCGAATTCTACCAGAGGTACAAGGAGGAGCTGGTACCATTCCTTCTGAAACTATTCCAATCAATAGAAAAAGAGGGAATCCTCCCTAACTCATTCTATGAGGCCAGCATCATCCTCATAGCAAAGCCTGGCAGAGACACAACAAAAAAACAGAATTTTAGACCAATATCCTTGATGAACCTTGATGCAAAAATCCTCAATAAAATACTGGCAAACCAAATCCAGCAGCACATCAAAAAGCTTATTCACCATGATCAAGTGGGCTTCATCCCTGGGATGCAAGGCTGGTTCAACATACGCAAATCAATAAATGTAATCCAGCATATAACAGAACCAAAGACAAAAACCACATGATTATCTCAATAGATGCAGAAAAGGCCTTTGACAAAATTCAACAACTCTTCATGCTAAAAACTCTCAATAAATTAGGTATTGATGGGACATATCTCAAAATAATAAGAGCTATTTATGACAAACCCACAGCCAATATCATACTGAATGGGCAAAAACTGGAAGCATTCCCTTTGAAAACTGGCACAAGACAAGGATGCCCTCTCTCACCACTCCTATTCAACATAGTGTTGGAAGTTCTGGCCAGGGCAATCAGGCAGGAGAAGGAAATAAAGGGTATTCAATTAGGAAAAGAGGGAGTCAAATTGTCCCTGTTTGCAGATGACATGATTGTATATCTAGAAAACCCCATCGTCTCAGGCCAAAATCTCCTCAAGCTGATAAGCAACTTCAGCAAATTCTCAGGATACAAAATCAATGTACAAAAATCACAAGCATTCTTATACACCAATAACAGACAAACAGAGAGCCAAATCATGAGTGAACTCCCATTCACAATTGCTTCAAAGAGAATAAAATACCTAGGAATCCAACTTACAAGGGATGTGAAGGACCTCTTCAAGGAGAACTACAAACCACTGCTCAAGGAAATAAAAGAGGATACAAACAAATGGAAAAACATCCCATGCTCATGGGTTGGAAGAATCAATATCGTGAAAATGGTCATACTGTCCAAGGTAATTTATAGATTCAATGACACTCCCATCAAGCTACCAATGACTTTCTTCACAGAATTGGAAAAAACTACTTTAAAGTTCATATGGAACCAAAAAAGAGCCCACATCACCAGGTCAATCCTAAGCCAAAAGAAAAAAGCCAGAGGTATCATGCTACCTGACTTCAAACTATACTACAAGGCTACAGTAACCAAAACAGCATGGTACTGGTACCAAAACAGAGATATAGATCAATGGAACAGAACAGAGCCCACAGAAATAATGCCGCATATCTACAACTACCTGATCTTTGACAAACCTGAGAAAAACAAGCAACGGGGAAAGGATTCCCTATTTAATAAATGGTGCTGGGAAAACTGGCTAGCCATATGTAGAAAGCTGAAACTGGATCCCTTCCTTATACCTTATACAAAAATTAATTCAAGATGGATTAAAGACTGAAATGTTAGACCTAAAACCATAAAAACCCTAGAAGAAAACCTAGGCAATACCATTCAGGACACAGGCATGGGCAAGGACTTCATGTCTAAAACACCAAAAGCAATGGCAACAAAAGCCAAAATTGACAAATGGGATCTAATTCAACTAAAGAGCTTCTGCACAGCAAAAGAAACTACCATCAGAGTGAACAGGCAACCTACAGAATGGGAGAAAATTTTCACAACTTACTAATCTGACAAAGGGCTAATATCCAGAAGCTACAATGAACTCAAACAAATTTACAAGAAAAAAACAAACAACCCTGTCAAAAAGTGGGCAAAGGATATGAACAGACACTTCTCAAAAGAAGACATTTATGCAGCCAAAAAACACATGAAAAAATGCTCGTCATTACTGGCCATCAGAGAAATGCAAATCAAAACCACAGTGAGATACCATCTCACACCAGTTAGAATGGCAATCATTAAAAAGTCAGGAAACAACAGGTGCTGGAGAGGATGTGGAGAAATAGGAACACTTTTACACTGTTGGTGGGACTGTAATATAGTTCAACCATTGTGGAAGTCAGTGTGGCGATTCCTCAGGGATCTAGAACTAGAAATACCATTTGACCCAGCCATCCCATTACTGCATATATACTCAAAGGACTATAAATCATGCTGCTATAAAGACACATGCACACTTATGTTTATTGAGGCACTATTCACAATAGCAAAGACTTGGAACCAACCCAAATGTCCAACAACGATAGACTGGATTAAGAAAATGTGGCACATATACACCATGGAATACTATGCAGCCATAAAAAATGATGAGTTCATGTCCTTTGTAGGGACATGCATGAAATTTAAAATCATCATTCTCAGCAAACTATTGCAAGGACAAAAAACCAAACACCGCATGTTCTCACTCATAGGTGGGAATTGAACAATGAGGACACATGGACACAGGAAGGGGAACATCACACTCCAGGGAAAGTTGTGGGGTGGGGGGAGGGGGGAGGGATGGCATTAGGAGATATACCTAATGCTAAATGACGAGTTAATGGGTGTAGCACACCAACATGGCACATGTATACATATGTAACAAACCTGCACATTGTGCACATGTACCCTAAAACTTAAAGTATCATAATAATAATAATAATTAAAAATGAAAGGCAGAGATTGTCAGATTGGATTAAAACAGAAAAATGCAAGTATATGCTGCCTAAAAGAAACACGCTTTAAATATAGAGACACAAATAGCTTAACAGTAAAAAGATGGGAAAAGATACACCATGTTAACATAGTCAAAAGATAGCTGGAGAGGCTATATTAATATCAAAGTAGATTTCAGAGCACAGATTATTACCTGAGATAAAGAGGGTCATTTCATATTAGTTAAGTGGTTAGTTTAAGAGAATACAATCCTAAATAATTACACACTAATAATAGAGTTCCAAAATACTTGAAAAAAAATCAAGGATAGAGAAATCCACAATTACAGCTAAAGATTCGAACAACACTACAAACCAATTTTATCTAATTGACATTTGTATAATACTGCACCTATCATCAACAGAATAGACGTTTTTTTCAAGTGCATACAGAACATTTACCAAGATATATTCTGGGCCATATAACAAGTCTCAATAGATTTTAAATTACTCAAATTGTATGATGTGTGTTCTCTGTTTACAACAGAATTAAATTTCTAAAATAAGCAACAGAAACATATCTGGAAAATCTTCAAATATCTGAAAGTTAAATAACACACTTCTAAATACCCCATGTTATAAACAAGAAATCAAAAAGAAAATTAGAAGGTATTTTGAACTGAATGAGAATGAAAGGACAGCATACAAAATTTGTTGGAGGCAGCTGAGGTAGTATTTAGCTTATGTAGCTTGAGGTATTATTTAGCTCAGTTTATGAAGAAATAATTTAAATTATTTTTACAGACATGACTGTCCTTGGAGAAAATTTTATAGAATAAACAAAAATGCCATGACAGTTGTTTTTCTTTTCTTTTTTTTTTTTTTTTTAAATCTTCAGGGGGGTAAATTTTAAGACCTCCAGTGGATGTCTGAAACCTCAGATGGTACCGAACTATATATACTACATGTACGCTACCTTTTTCCAGTGTAAACATACCTAAGATAAAATTTAATTTATAAATTAGTCACAGTAAGAGATTAACAACAGCTAATGTTAAAATAGAACAATTAAGTAAAATAAGGGTTACTTGAACTGTGATACTACTGAAATACCACAACAGTTGATCTTGTAAATGAGATGGTTACTAAGTGACTAATAAGTAAGGAGCGAATACATTTGGACAAAGGAATGATTCAACTTCTGAGCAGAATGGAGTGGGATGGCAAGAGATTTTATCACACTACTCAGAACAGCGCACACTTCAAAATTCATAAACTCTTTATTTCTGTAATTTTCCATTTTTGAACCACAGTTGACCTTAGGTAACTGAAACCATACAAAGTGAAGAATAAGGGGGGACTACGGTATAGCTACTATGTGAGTTTAGCAAGGTTGCAAGATACAAGACCAATGTACCAAAGTCAATTGCATTTCTATACACTAGTGATGAACACTATTAAAGTGAAATTCTTAAAAAATAATGCTGTTCCCCTTAGCATGAAGAGAATATTTAGAGATAACTATGACAAGTAAAAGATCTGTACTCTGAAAACTATAAAATAGTACTGATCAAAAAATAAAGATGTAAATAAATGGAGAGATATTCCCTGTTCATGAATAGGAAGATTGAATATTGTTAAGGTTTCAGTTCTTCCCAAATTGAACTATAAAATTAATGCAATGCCAAGCAAAGTCTTAGCGAGCTTGTTTTGTAGAAATCAACAAGCTAATTCTAAAATTCATATGAAAATACAAAGGACTTTGAATAGCCAAAACAACTTTGAAAAAGAATAGCAAAGTCAAAAACTTTAACTATTTGATTTCCAGATTTATTATAAGTCTATAGTAATCAAGGCAATGTGGTATTAGCATCAAAATAGATTTAAAAAATCAATGAAACAGAATAAAAAGTCCAGAAATAGACCCACACATGTAATCAATTGATTTTTGACAAAGTTGCAAAGGCAATCCAGTGGAGAAATGATAATCTATTCAGCAAGGAGTGCTGGCACAACTGACTAACCACATGCAAAAAAAGTCTTCAAATGAACTTTTAATTATTCCTTGCACCATATACAAAAATTACTTCAAAATGGATGATAAACTGTAAAACCTAAAAGTATATAACTTTTTAAAAACTGGAGAAAATTTTTGTGATTTGGGCTATACAAAGATTTCTAGGGTATAACAGCAAAAACACAGTGCATAAAATAAGAAATTGATTAGTTAGTTGATGGTCACTAACTATCCCTGCCAGTATTCATAGATTAATCGCTAGAAGTAGATGAATATTGACAAATTATCCTCCAGAAATGTGTCATCACTAACAGAGTATGAGTGTCTATTTCACTGTCATATTTTCTATATTGGATAATATAATTCAACAGATATTTGCCAATATAAAAGGCCCTTTATCAGGTACCTTATTGTTTCTTTAGTTTGTCTTTATTATTATAAAAGTAATAAAGTGATTTTGTAAAAATAATAAAAAGTGATTCTATGTGTATGTTTATTACCCACTGGTGTTTCTTCTTTTGTCAAATGTCATTTCATGCCAAAGATTAAAATGACAATGGCGAGCTCCAACACAACGGTTGACCTTCCAGAGGTAGGAGATGAAATAGCAGAGAGTTTCATGAACTAGACCTCCAGGCTTTCCCTGTCTATATTTACTCCATGCAGTAAGCTAAGGACACTTCATTAATTTCTGCAATAAAAACCTTTTAGGCTATTTTGGGCAAATACTCTGATTTTCTGCCCTGTCTCTGCTGACACTCCAAGGTGTCATCCAGGTATACAGCAGGTAGAAGGCCTTATTGATCTCAGGAAGAGGGAATGGTGGAAATTGGGTATTTACTCAGCCCCTTGAACTGCCCTCTGTCCACTTTGGTATGCACAATGATGTCCCTCCCTTGGCTGCTTGCTTCTCCCAGTGCCTGTAGCTGATGCACCATTGGCTTTGGGCTTGATTTGGGATGGTGGTCCTCTCTGTGACTTTGTCCCCATTATAGCTACAGGCCCCTGCATTGTGGTTTTGATTCCTATTTGGTTGCTGGCTGAGGCAGTCCACCCTGCAGTCTGGACTTGCTGTCACTTCATTGTACTGCCATAGCCCACCCTGGTCTACTTCTGAGTTATGCTTTCAACCAACTTCCATGTCCCAATTCCATATTCCATGTCTCACAGGAACCAAGACAGATCAGAGTTAGGAATCTTTTCTCTCACTAACTGTGCTTATAGACACCATTACTCTGATGCAGCTTGAGAAGCATTCACTGTTAGGGGTCGCAGATGTTACCTGGAACAAAGTCTGCTCTCACCATATCCCTGAAAATACCTAACATATTCTCATGTTGTGGAAAGTCAGTGGCAGGGAGAACTCATAACCCAGCTATTTAGCCACACATCTTCCCTACCTACATCCCCCTTCCTCTTCCCACAATCTCCGAGACCAGGAAAAAAGCACACTTTCAAACTTCTCAAGATTAAAGCTCTATGATCCATTCTGATATGTCAAAGGAGGAGCTCTATCACATAGAAATTTCTCTTTCTCTCAACAAAGCCCAGTTTTTAAAATCATTATCTAAAGATGCGAGAAAAGTCATCTGGTTTGAGACTCAATGCTGATTGGTGATTTTCTTATTTATTAATTAATACATTCAAGAAATATTTCTTGTGAAAATTACTTCTCAGGTGTGGAAATGCAATGGCATACAAGGAAAAAAAAGGTCTTGACCTCATAGAGTTTAAATTCTAGTACAGAAGACATACAATGTAATAATCAAATCCAGTTTGTAAGTTTTATGAAAATAAAGCAGGGTAAAGTGACAGAGAAAAATAGAATAAGAGAGGATATAGGTGTTATTTTCAAAAAGTAATCCAACAAATTTCTCTGTGAAATAAAATCTAACCTGCCACCTGTATGAGGTGAAGGAAGGATCCAAGAACAAGACTAGAGAGTTTCCAGGCACAGGGACCAAAGGCTTTGGGGTGGGAACCTGCTTGAAGAGTCCAAGGACTGGCAGGAGGTTAGAACAGAGCTAGAACAGAGAGTGAGAAAGTAGAGATGGTTACAGATAAAGTCCAAGAGACAGGTAGGGGCCAGATCATGTTGAACTTTGTAGGTTAGCTGTTTCAACGTGTCGTCTGGGGAACCAGAGGGATCCCTGATATCCTCAGGGGTTCCATAAGGTCCTCCTTTTCCCAAATACTTTTTTCTACCAGGTTGAATTTTCTTCATATAGTTCAATCAAAACAATGTATTGCAACAGATTGAATGCAGAAGAAAATATGAAAATCCAGCTGTCTTTTATTAAACCAAATATTCAAGAGATTTGCAAAAATGTAAAACAATGTCATTCTCCTCACTGTATTATTTTTGTTTTTGAAAATATATATTTTTTCACGCCAGGTGCAGTGGCTCACACCTGTAATCACGGCATTTTGGGAGGCCAAGACAGGCAGATCACTTGAGCCCAGGAGTTTGAGAGCAGCCTGGTCAACATGGCAAAACCCACCTCCACAAAAAAAATTGTTTAATTAACTGGGTGTGGTGGTGCACACCTATAGTCCCAGCTACTCAGGAGGCTGAGGTGGGAGGATCACCTGAGCCCAGGAGGCAGAGGTTGCAGTGAGCCATGATCATGCCACTGCAGTCTAGATTGGGCAACAGCACCCATATATATATGGGTGCTCAAATATATATATATTTGAGACAGGGTCTCACTCTATTGCCCAATATATAAAAAATATGTCATTTACATTAACATATAATAGGTTTTTATTGTTGTTTTAAAAATATTTAACAAATAAATATGTTTACATATTCTTAGTTATAATTTTAAATAAATTACATATTTACAGATATAGCCCACGTAAACAAAAGCTCTTTGGAGCCCTTCCTCAATAATTTTTCAGAGTGAAAGGGATTCTGAGATTAAAATGTTTGAGAATCATTTTTATAAAACATAAGATTTTATTCAAAGGATAATACGATCCATCTGGAAGTCTTGAACAGAGTGCTGATAGACTCTATTGCTTTTAGAATATCCATCTGGCCGGGCGCGGTGGCTCACGCCTGTAATCCCAGCACTTTGGGAGGCCGAGGCGGGCGGATCACGAGGTCAGGAGATCGAGACCATCCCGGCTAAAACGGTGAAACCCCGTCTCTACTAAAAATACAAAAAATTAGCCGGGCGTAGTGGCGGGCGCCTGTAGTCCCAGCTACTTGGGAGGCTGAGGCAGGAGAATGGCGTGAACCCGGGAGGCGGAGCTTGCAGTGAGCCGAGATCCCGCCACTGCACTCCAGCCTGGGCGACAGAGCGAGACTCCGTCTCAAAAAAAAAAAAAAAAAAAAAAAGAAAGAAAAAAAAAAGAATATCCATCTGACTGCTGAGTGGGAAATTCACTGCAGAGAAGGAAGAGATGATGCAAGAAAATGGTAGAGGTTGTTGCATTAGTCCAGGCAAGAGATGACTGTGGCTTGGCCTCAGATGATATAAGTGGAGATGGTTAGAAGTCACATAGAATAAATACTTTAAAGGTAGAGCCAATAGAATGTGTTGATTAAATGAATGTGGGGTATGAGGAGAAAAGGGGCCAAGGTTGACTCCAGGGATTCTGGTCTAAGCCCCTGGTTAGATAGTGGCACAATCTACTGAGAAGGAGGAAAGAGGTTTCTTTTTTTTTTTTTTTTTTTAAACACAGAATCTCGCTCTGTCACCCAGGCTGGAGTGCAGTGGCGCGATCTCAGCTCACTGCATGCTCCACCTTCCCAGGTTCACGCCATTCTCCCTCCTCAGCCTCCCGAGTAGCTGGGACTACAGGCGCCCGCCACCACGCCCGGTTAATTTTTTTGTATTTTTAGTAGAGACGAGGTTTCACCGTGTTAGCCAGGATGGTCTCCATCTCCTGACCTCGGGATCCGCCTGCCTCGGCCTCCCAAAGTTCTGGGATTACAGGCGTGAGCCACCGCACCCGGCCAGAAAGTGGTTTCTAAGGTACTACCAGCTCTCTCTCTCCCTGGAGCAAGAAGCCTTATGAATCTATCTTGCACTTTAAAAGAATGCAAGGAAAAAAGAGATAAATTAAAAGGTATTAATTTAATATTTCCAAAATGTTACCCCTGTTACATTTCATATAGTTTCATCTTAACTATCTAAAACAAGTGCATAGAAAAATACTGGAAGGAAATATCAAAATGTTAACAGTGGTCTTCACTAATTAAAGGTTTGCCAGAGGATTTTATTTTCTCTTGCATAGGTTGCTTCTATATCTCACAAACTCTTACAGTGAGTGTTTATTACTGTAATTTTTCTCAGAAGTAAAATTATTTTAGGAAAAACCATTCAAAGCTCAGATGCACTATGTGGTGTCTATGAACTTGAAGATACCTCCATTTGAAGAGATGTTCTCCCTTGAGAAGATGAGTCGGTGGAAAGTGCCCTATATTATGCATCAAGCATAATTTCCATCTTGGTTCATCTGGGATATTTGTACCTTTACAAATAATTAATTTTTAATTAATTTTTATACCTTTAAAAATAATCACAGATAATTATTTTCTGCCACAATAGTTTCTTCAATTTTTTAATTAAAAGTCAATCCACCTTAGACTCGACTCTTTGGGGTGATAAAAAAGAGTTCTTGAATAAGGATTCTGAAAGTCCCTAATACAGCCCTCAAAGAAGTAAACTAAGTTTAAAGTTATTTTCTTGTTTCTTATGTCTCCATGCTTGCAGAGTAAATTTAATGCCAGGTTTTGGAGAAATCTATCTTAGAATAAAAACACAGTTATCAGTGAAGCTACACATGTGACACTTAAATAAACAGGGAACAGATAGAAGGAAGTTCTCACTGATGCTGGTGAACTGGATGTCCTAGTGAGCGTGCCACGTCACCAGAGTTGATAAGCAACTGACTGAAAACCTTGGTCTGGGAAGCTGCTGTGGTCAGAGATCAAAGTGAGAAGGGAAAGGGAAATGCCTTTTCCACACCTAATAAGATTCATTTTTCTTGTTTTCCTTCACCAACTCCACAAGACTGTCAAGGTAATTTTTTGGTTTGCTACTAAGCTAAAAAAGGACTCAACCATTTTAAAGTTAGTAAGACATGGGAAATAATTACCTTTCAAGACTCCATAAGAGTCTTCAGAGTCAGGGAACATTGACCACCTGCTTGATTATAAAAAATAGTCTTTGTTCACCAAGGTAGCCCTATAGCTTCCTAGTGTCTACAGCATTTACACATCTACTTTCTCCTTCACAGCCTCTACCTCTGGAATAGAGATTCTTCTGGAATATTCCAGAGGTTGTAAGGGGTGTGACTGTTGCCCCATGGGGAAAATAGGGGCTGCTTGGTAAGTTTCTAGGCAGTTTTTTTTTTTTTTTCATAAGTGGACCCATTCTGAGGTCTGTCCTTTCCCCTCTCTGAAAGGACCAGAACCTGTTGTTCTGGGTTTAATTAAGAAAAGAAGACATGCACTCATGGCGTTCTTGATCTAAGGCATCCACTCACCCACAGGAAGAGTCTTTGGCAAGACGGTCTCCCGAGGTGTCTTCTAGAGCTATAGTTCATGTTCAATAAGGGAGAAATTACTTAAACTCATCTCACAACTTGATTACAT